>NC_000010.11:3646363-3797878 GCF_000001405.40 Homo sapiens
GGAATCTCCAGAGGCCGGTGATGGAGATGGAAGGTTGACAGGAGCCAGGTGCTGACCATGTCCAGCATATTCTGGGGCAGGTGGGAAGGTTCCAGGGGCGTCCTTCACAGCCACCACACAGATGAGACGCATGAACCAGATGACTTGATGGATCTGCAACAAAGAAAGGGAGATGTGGACAAGCGACAGAAAGTTTCGGTTAAACTATGAGGTCCGAATACTGCCTGGGCTCTGTCTGGTTTCCTGGGTATTCCCAGTGTTTAGCACAACTGCTAACGCAAGCAGTTGATATGACTACATATTTATTGAATGAGTCCTAAATAGTTTCATAGTGTTAATATGAACATAATAATAGGAATAAATCATAATTTGTTCCTATACTTACTAGGAACAAAGAGAAAACTATAAATATAGTCAAGAAATCAAGAAGAAGATAACAATGACAGGGATCATAATAATAAAATGCTCGGGTAGTGTTTGTATAGCCACAACAATGGAACACACACTATTGACGCAACCAACATTAGCCATGCAGGAGGAAGGAGGAAGGTTCGGGAGCTTTTGTGTGGTTGAACACTGGGGTTCAAGAGAGCTAATGCTCATTTTCCAGGCTGGCTAGCTCACAGATCCTGCCTAAATCTGAAAAAATAAAAAAGTAGGAATACAAGTATTTTAATCAGAAAGAATGGAAGCAAATACACAAAAGAATGCCAGAAAAACCTGGAAATTGCCTGCTCTGAGATATAGAGGGAGAATGTTGAGACACTGCTGTTTTCCTAATAAACTTTGTAGAAATATTTGCATTTGGAACCATGAGCAGGTTATACAGATATATATCAATCAACATCAGGAAACTAACAGAACATTGATGCCGTACGGACAGCTCTGAAAATGAGGCACAGTCATATCAGTCACACTGGTTCCCCATCCGCAGTTTTGCTTTCTGTAGTTTCAGTTACCCGAGGCCAACTGAGGGCTCAAAGCATTCAAGGAAAAATTGCAGAAATAAGCAGTTCATAAGTTTGAAATTGCGCCGCGTTCTGAGTTGCTCTGTCCTGCCCGGGATGTGAACCATCCCTTTATCCAGTGCATCCACACTGTCTATGCCACCTGCCTGTTATTCCCTTAGGAGCCACTTCAGTTATCAGATCGACTGTCGTGATATCACAGTGCTTGTCTTCAAGTCACCCTATTTTACGTAATAATGGCCCAAAGTGCAAGAGTGACGACACCGGCATACTGTTGTAATTGTGCTGTTGTTGGTAGCGACTGTTGCGGGTCTCTTACTGTGCTTAATTTATTGAATTATCATACATAGCTATGTGCGGTATAGAAAAAACGTTCTATTTAGTGGTCAGTATGATTCGTGATGTCGGGCATGTGCTGAGGGTCTAGGAGTGAATCTCTCTTGGATAAGGGGGCACTGAAGTCATGCACTGTGGGGCCCTTGCCCCCTGCCCCTGCTGCAAGTCCTGGGCACACCCCTCGAAAATACTGAATGTTTTTTTTCCCTCTCTCATCATCAATCTCCTAAGAAACAAAAAGTATTTTCCTTATAAAAGAAAACTTATTTTCTAGAATGAAGAGTGTTGTCAGACTCCTAAAAAAGGTTAAGAAGAAGGCTGGGAATGTTCGCCATACGCAGGTATGCCAGGCATATGCACATTTTGTAGCTAAGCTGTATTGCAATAAAAAGTTTATGTAAAAAAATACTTAGAGGATACGTTATCCTGGTATGAACTATTAGCACTTTCTGTTACAAGACAAAATTCTCCCTGAGGCATGAACAACTCAAAAGACTGAATTATTTCAGGGACCACCCTAATTCATACTTGAAGCTCAGGCATAGATACAAATAACCTCAAAAAATACGTTTATACTAAATGGTTTCTCTATTAGATTTACCTGTTCCTTCAAGTTGCCTGTCCACAATAAGGCATCTGTGTAAATCTGAAGTTACTCTGGAAATACTGCACCCTGCTGAGAGTGAGTATTCACGAGGTGTGGGAGAACAGGCTCCCAGCTTGAGGTCTGTGTCCTATTTAATCACCCTGCTTCAGATGTGATTAAAAAGAAATCCAAATATAGTTGCTGCTGAGCTCAGCCAAGAAGAAAGGCTCAAGGAAGAAGTCCTTAGAAAACATACTGGTGAAATTATTTGCGCGAATGCAGCCGTGTGGTGCAGTTTCCATTGTAACGTGGTGGTCAACCCTTGAAATTAAAACCTGCCTTTGGTGTTCACCTCACATATACACACATGCACACACACGCACACACACAGGTGCATGCATGCATGCCATGCAGACACATGCACACACATACACACACCTGAATGTGCACACACACACACGCGCACACACATACCCATGTGTGCCCACCACACACAGACACATGCATGCATGCCATGCAGACACATGGACACACATACACACACCTGAATGCACTCACACACAGACATGCACACACGTGTTCCTGCCACACACACATGCACACACTCAAGCTCACATGCACACCTCACCCCCACACACATACATGTGTGAACATGCATGCACACACGCACCAAGTATCCACTGAGGAAACCTGCGCAATACCAGATCTGGAAAGAGAAGTGTCACTCACAACCAATATCAGAATCGTGATCCTCGGTGCACATGAGTCCAGGAGGAACCAGGCCTGACAAGTTACCGTGGGATTCACACTGGATCTTCATAAAAACTGTCTCCAGAATGAAACTAAGCCAAGGCATCCGAGTCATCCATCTTCTGTACCCTCTCTGATTATTTTGTTTGATGCAACTTACCACTTCATGTGATAATTTCTGTGGATGCCTACACATAAATATTTTTTATGTAAGTCAAATTTTATTATACATCATACATTTCTACAATTGTAGTACCCCAAATCAATGCACTGAAACCACAGCTTGTACTTGAAGTAAATAAAAGAGCAGTGTGACAGAGAAATGGGACCTTTTTAAGGTTTTCTAATATAGTTTTTCTAAATTTTACAAACTAACCTTTTTCCATTTTCTGTTTTATCCAAACCCATCCTGCCCCTAAATTAATTATACCATTTTACACACATACACACACACACACACACACTAGATTTTTTTTTCCTTCCAAATTAATGACTATGACTTTTTGAATCCTCCCCTCCACTCCCCACGGGACCCTTGCCCCCCCACTCGCACACAGGTCCTCGGTATCTTTGGTCCTCTCCTCTGCTCATGTGTTTTCCCTTTTATCCCACAGCATAATTTGTTTTCTTATTGTTAATTTTATTAATTTATAATATTAGGAAAAAGCACAAAACTAATACAAATAAGAAACTTACAAAATTATTAATAATTTTAAAATCCCAGAAAACGAATAGAAATAGAAGTTGAAATTTGTGACTTGCTACATTCTAGGCACTGCGCTGTGGGTTTTGTTAAAGCTAACTTTAGTTAAGCTTTGCATTAGTCTTTCAAGGTGGGGAAGATGACCCATGTTCTACAAAGGAAAAGCTGCTATTTAATTATCAGTCTACTGCCCTGATGCTTCCTTTTCTAGAAACTGTTGTAAAGAGTACAACTATATCCCATTGCCCTCTCTCCTCACCCTTCATTCACTCCTTGGTCCCCACCATTCTACCGAATGGACCTTCACTGTCTATGTACTAATCTTCAGTTCAATAACCTTCTCTTTAGGTACCATCCCCGCCTCCTCCTATTTTGAATGGAATCCCCTTTCACCCTCTTGAAAGCCTCCATTCCTTCTTCTCTTCTCCACTTTCTTTTGGTTTTCCCTTTTCTCTGATCTTTCCTCTCCCTCCCAACTTGAGTCTTCTGTCTGCTTCCTAAAAGCATGCATTTGCCAAGGTACTTTCTTTCTCTTCTCGTTTTCAATCATTTCTGAACATTCTCAATAACTCCAACTGAGAATCATCTACACTGCGGGCCCTAAGGGCTCTCCTGAAATTCAGACCCTATTCTTATCTGCCTGCAAGATTTGGCCAAATGGAGGTGGTGTAGGCACATCAAATTTCACATGTGCGAAGCTTCCCTTCCAGTTGGTTTTAACAATGCATTGCCTGATGTGGTCAATAACATCACCAACTACCAAGCAGCCAAGGTAGAAATCTCCAAGTGATCACGTGTATTTCCTCTTTTGCCAAATAGCCCAGTCACAATGCATCCTGCGGTACTGTTCGTCGGTTCATTCTGCCATCCCTATTCCACTGTCCTTATTCTAATTCGAGCCTTCAACACGTCCTCAAACTCCCCCAAATCAGCTCTGAACCTCATTTTCCCATCGAAGTTAACTGTTGTGCCACCAGCAAAGGTCTCTTTATCTCATTCCCCTTTTTGAAAACTTCCTATGTGTCACCTTGATTTCCAGAATAAGATTAAACTGTCCTAATTAGTCATTCAAGATTCCCTTCACTCAGCTCAAAGTCCAGATTTTTACCCATTTTTTTTTGTATAATAACTCCTGCCTTATTTTCTAACCCTATTGTGTAGTTAAAATAGGCTGGCCATTGTTTTAGTATCTTATTAGTTTTCCTTGCCTAGAGTATACTCAATTGGGTATAGATGGGGTTGTGAGAAATTTCATCACAAATAATGATTTAACTCTGAAGCTAAACAATTTGCAGGTATCTATCTATCTGTTTATCTATCCAGAGAGAGAGAGAGAGAGAGAGAGAGAGAGAGAGAGAGAAGAGACAGACAATCACCTAATCACAACCATTCAGTAAAAACAGATGTATGATTTTTTTTTCTTACTAATACACACAAAAATAACCCTGGTAGATTTTAGATTTTCTAGGTGAAAGAAAAAAATTCAATACATCATTTTTGGTCTTTATGCTTGTTTTGTTGTGCTTTTTGATAAATTTTACAGATGCCTATTTATTTTGAAATGGATGGTCAATAATCACCACAACCACCCATTTTCATTTCTCTCTCTTTACAAACAAATGCAGTCCTTTGTTGGGGGTGAGTGGGCACCATTCTAGCCACTTGTTATTAGAGTCATCAAGCACGCTCTCCTAGGACAGTTTAAAAATACATGCAAAACATCAGTAAGGTTATGGAATAAAGTCTATCCTCATCAACCTGTTCTAATGTCACCATTCACCTCCTGGGGGACACCTTGTAAGAGCCAACAGACCTCATGACCCCCTTAGGGTCAAGGGTTCAATATCTAAGTTACCTGAAGTTCAACAAAAATTGCTTCCCTAAAATAGGGACTTTTATCTGAATCAAAACCACGTATGAGAACAAGTATAGGTGTAGCATATAGGTAGAAAGTATCTATGTGTTTTGCAAGACTTTTCTCCTCATTAAGAACACAGCAAAGCCTGCTTGTTCAGATGCTTCTCTGTGTCTCTGTGTTGTCAGAAGTAAGGATGTTCCCTTTCTCCAGATCTTACGGAGAAAGCTCTGCTTCAGGGAGAAGGGCAAGACGAGGTTGGAGAGTGACCTTCTTGCTTCTGCTGTTTTCTCCAATGCCAAGGTGCCATATTTGGGGTAGCCTGTCCTGAACGCATCACTGCCTGACTCCCTCTGACCCTTGGTGTTGGCATTAGGCTGCATTGCATGTAAGTTATGCAGAGCAGTTGGCCTGAGATTTGATCAGTGTAATGTTGATCTTGTGGAGATGACCAAGGCATGGAGGTCATCCCATACACAAGCACTTGGGAAATGGTGAAGAACCTGCCACAGGAAGTGGAACGCAGGCAGTGCCGACAGTGACTCTTTGCTGAGGGTGGGGAGGAAGGACCAACGCAAAGTGTGAGACTGCAATGGTCCAGCAACTGAAGCAGAGTCATCAAGGCCCAGGCAGAGCCAGGCCACCAGGAGGCAAGGCAGAGCCCGGTATGGCATCCCTGGAGCAGCATCAGAGTGGGCCTGGCACTAGGGGATCGTGCATTCCCACTGGCCACAGGTGCTTTCTGTTGCAATTACCTCTGACTGGTATGTGCTGAGTCTACAGGTGAGCTCTGAGTCTACGGGTGAGCTGAGTCTATAGGTGAGCTCTGAGTCTACAAGTGAGCTCTGAGACTACAGGTGAACTGTGAGTCTACAGGTGAGCTGTGAGTCTACAGGTGAGCTTTGAGTCTATAGCTGAGCTCTGAGTCTACAGGTGAACTCTGAGTCTACAGGTGAGCTCTGAGTCTATAGGTGAGTTCTGAGTCTGTAGGTGAGCTGTGAGTCTACAGGTGAGCTCTGAGTCTACAGGTGAGCTGTGAATCTACAGGTGAGCTCTGAGTCTACAGGTGAGCTGTGAGTCTATAGGTGAGCTCTGAGTCTCTAATTTTAATCTACTCTGCGAAAGACACTGGCTGTGAGCACAGGACACCAAATAGGTGGTTGTAGCGTGGCTATTCTTCGGTAAGCTTTGCTTGCTGCTTTCTTGGCTCACATTTTTTCCAAAGTAGGGTAAATATTAAATAATAATACAATGTAATATTATAATGTAATATATAATATATATTTAATAATATAATAATTAAAGACTTTGCTTTAAACCTCTTTCCTTTAACATTCTGGGCACCTGATGGCTATGTATGAATAAATCTAAATGGTGACGGTGCCTACACAAAAACGTTCACACAGAAGAGGAGATAAGATCACGGGAAGATGAAAACAAGACTTGCTTCGATAAACGGCACTCCAGATACGGTTTGGCACTGTTAGATGACTCGGCTCCCCAGCCCCATCCAGACAGCTGCACGGGCTCCGGGGCAGTGAGCTCCGCTTTCCTCTGCAACATCGCTTCACCACAGCAGCGATGTTTTCAGGAAAGACTTGCAGAGAGATCTCTAGCTTTCATTTTCCAACACGAATTTATTTCCAGTTCCAACCTCAAAGTTTCCAAGTGAGGCTTTTATTAAGAATAATGGTATGTTGCCAGAAAAAGTAACCCTTGAATTATGAGGGAAATTTAAGAAAGGAGAATATAATTTTTCTTCCCTCTACTATTTATCCATCCAGTACTTCTCTACATTGTGGAAGAAGTCACATCTCCACCACAGACAGAAGGATTGCTCTGGGAAGAGCCCTGATCTAACTGTAATGGCTTTCTTTTCTTTTCTTTTCCTTTCTTTTTTCTTTTCCTTTCTTTTTTTTCTTTCCTTTCCTTTTCTTTTCTTTCTCTCTCTTTCTTTCTTTCTTTCTTTTTTCTTTTTCTTTTTTTTCCCGAGTTTCACTCTTGTTGTCCAGGCTGGAGTACAATGGCATGATCTTGGCTCACCGCAGCCTCCACCTCCTGGGTTCAAGCAATTCTGCTGCCTCAGCCTCCTGAGTAGCTGGGATTATAGGCATGCACTACCACATCCAGCTAATTTTTATATTTTTGGTAGAGATGGGGTTTCACCATTTTGGCCAGGCTGGTCTCGAACCCTAACCTCAAGTGATCTGCCTGCCTCAGCCTCCCAAAGTGCTGGGATTACAGGCATGAGCCACCATGCCCAGACTTTTTTTCTTTTTTTTTGAGACGGAGTTTAGCTCTGTCATCCAGGCTGGAGTGCAGTTGTGTGATCTCGGCTCACTGCAAGCTCCACCTCCCGGGTGCAAGGGATTCTCCTGCCTCAGCCTCCCGAGTAGCTGGGATTATAGGCATGTACCACCACACACAGCTAATTTTGTATTTTTGGTGGAGGTGGGGTTTCACCATGTTGGCCAGGCTGGTCTCAAACCCCTGACCTCAAGTGATCTGCCTGCCTCGGCCTCCCAAAGTGCTGGGGCTACAGGCATGAGCCACCGTGCTGGGATTACAGGCATGATCCACTGTGCCCAGACTTTTTTTCTTTTTTTTTATTGTTATTTTTTGAGATGGAGTGTCGCTCTGTCACCCAGGCTGGAATGCAGTGGCACGATCTCAGCTCACTGCAAGCTCTGCCTCCCGGGTGCAAAGGATTCTCCTGCCTCAGCCTCCCAAGTAGCTGGGATTATAGTCATGCACCACCACACCCAGCTAATTTTTGTATTTTTGGGAGAGATATGGTTTCACCATGTTGGCCAGGCTGGTCTTGAACTCCTGACCTCAGATGATCCACCTGCCTCAGTCTCCCAGAGTGCTGGGATTACAGGCGTGAGCCACAGCATCTGGCCAATGTGATCGCTTTTTCTTAAGACTATTGGTCATTCCTTTTTTTTTATTTTTCCTGCAGACCTTATCATGATGCAATGCTCCATCCTAAAATGCTCTCTCCCATACCTATGCAGCAAATGTTACGTTTTGATTATTTCCCTTTGCAGTGAATATTGCCAGACCCTCAGAGATCATCTGCATGTTTGGCGGTGTGAGCAGAGGTTGCCACCACTGTTCTTTTTGCCCTAACTGTTCTGAGTCAGCTGATAGGAATTCTGATTCTATGCTCTTTTGCCAAGATGGGAAGCTGGTTTGGAAGACTTTTGGATCTATACATCCCAGAATACTTCTTCCCTATTTAGGTATATCAGTCATTTTATTTCCTACTAAGAATTATTTGTATCATTCAGAGTTGCCAAGCACAGAACATAACTGTGAAATCCCAAGGTTTCTGGAAATTTTTCAGATAGGAAAGGGGGACAAAATGAACCAGGCAGCCAAATTTCACTCTTTGCTCTTTGAAAAGCAAGAATGTTTCTGCCCTCTTTGCTTCTTTTTCCTCTCTTGCAGCCCTTTCTTCTATCTCTAACCTGTTGATGTTTCATAGAGTATGATTTTTCTCTGATAAGCATACACATGACCAGGGCACTGGTTGAAAGAGTAAGGTCTTAACAAACTGAGTCCTCCAATGCAGCACAGAAAGTTATCACAAACACACACACACACACGTGCACATACACACATATACACATGTGTGTTTATGTGTATATATGTGTTTGTGTGTGTGTGTATAAGAGAGAAAAGGAGAGTGAGAGGTGAAGAACATGATTTAGCTGGAGTTGAATGTTCCTCTGGCAAAAGCAGAACTTAGTGAAGACTCTTTCTCTCCTATGCTTATTCAACTCTGGACTTCACTTAAACTGAAGAAATCATCATTAACTTAGTTTTTTATTCTCCACACACTGGCAAAGTCCTTAGTAAGTATCAGACACTGCCCAAGACCCAAGAGCTGCACCGCTGAATAAGCGAGGTCTCGAATCTGGTAGAACTTCCATTAGAGGGGAGAAAGATGAACAGCACACACAAATAAAACCTTTCATAGCAGAAAGGGAGAGGCAGTGTGATGAAAACACCACAGAGTGATGGGACGATGAAGATTCCAAGGCTACGTTAGATTATATGGCTAGGAGGGGCCTCTCTGAGGAAGCCGCAGAGAAGCCGAGATGTGGCTGACATGAGGAAACCAGCCGTGTGCAAAAATGGAATGAAGTCATTTAAGGAAGAACAAACACCTGCAACTGCCCTGAAACAGGAACAAGCTAGAGTTGTTTGAGATACATCAAGAAGCCCTGTGTGAATGGGGTAGGGTGGATGCTAAGCTAGCTGGCAGGTGGCGGTGAGGGGGCCCCTTTAGGTCAGGGTGGGTAGAATTCCTTGAGAGGATACAGGAAGAGAGTGAAACCACCGGGTTAAGGTTTTCCATAGCTCACCCCAGCTGCTGTATGGAGAACACAGAACAGAGAAGAAAGGCCGCATGGAAAGCCAGTGCCGTGGTGCAAGCATGATGCTGTGATGGAAAGAACGACGGAGGGAGGTAGCAGGATGTGAGCTGGGTTTTGGAAGCTCCCAACTTAGGGTCTTTCACTTCAGTAACTGTAGACATTGATACATTTACTGGAATGAGAAGGCAGAGGGGAAATAGAATTCTGTTTGGGATATGTCAAGTGTAAGACGCCCATCAATATCTGGATCGATACCCCAAGTAGGCAATTGGATGAAAGTGTTTGCAGGCAGGTCAGGAGTAGAGAGAGAAATCTGAGAGTCACAAAATTCTGGAGTATTTAAAGCTTTAGAATCAGAATCAAAAATGGTAAGTGGAGAAAAGCAGGGATTCCAGATCCAAGTCCTGGGTGCACCAGCATTGACAGTGGGGGCAGAAGGTTGGTGTTGAGAGCCAAACAGAGCTCGGTAACACTGTGAGCTGTCAAGAATGTCCACTCGTCTAGCTCACCAGCCAGCTTTATTCATGTCATTGTCCTTCTGCCAATCCTAACATCAATGAGATGTAATGGCGGTGATAAATATGGATGTATTCATGTCTCTTTGTGCAGAAAGCAGAGATTGTTGCAGCATAATATTTTTAAAAAGGAGTAGGTACCAAACATTTTATCACATTTCTCTCTAAACTATTTTTTTTCTGCCTGGTGGAGAGTAGGCTTTTGTTTGTCAGTTTGTTTTGTTTTTCAGGAAGGTACTGCAGGCACCTAATTAGAGGAGACGGTGATACGTTTACAAAGTATTAATGGAGCTGTCTTTTCCCGCCTTACCGTGAACAAGCACTTTTTCTTGTACTTAAGTTTAAAATGTCTTTCTAGGAATAGAACAATTGCAAACACTGCAAAGTGCGAGTAGGAGGGAGGGGATGGTGAGGAGGGGGAGGCTGCCTGGACTCCAGGGAGTAAACACTGCAAAATGGGAGTGGGAGGGAGGGGATGGTGAGGAGGGGAGGCTGTCTGGACCCCAGGGAGGTGTCATGGACCCTGTACCATTTAATCCATCCCTCTCTCATTTCCTATTTAAAATACTAAGAATGAGTAAAACATACAGGAGAAATTTAGAGAAAAGAGAGTGGAAAACTTTAATTTTTAGAGTTGTCAATGAAAACATGTCTTCTTTTCTAAGGGACAAGAAAGAAATCAATCCTGGGTCATTGAGCTGGAATTTAAACAGAGCCTCAGACTACATGGATTGTTCTAGATAGCATAGCCTGTTAACTTCATTCCAAAATGATCATTTGGTTAAAAACACTTATGAAAACAATTTTTGGTGGCCTTGGCCTCAGGACTGATTGGCTCACTCCAGAAAATCCAGCAGGTTAAACATGTAAATCAGCCTTGGGGAGGTGTTAGGAAGCAAAAACTCCAAGCCTGGTACCTATGTGGATGGCGGTTTATGGGTTTAGGACATGCTTTGAGATGAATGTATTGGATTCTTAGACCCAACTCTTTTGATCGCTGATTTTTTGATGGAGAATATTGCGTCTTCCTAGCTAGCTTGATAAGTGTGGGGATGTCACGTCTCCTTAGCAATCCGAGTTATATGGAATAATCTAGAACAATTTAAAATGCTGCCTCATTTTTCCTGTAAGCAAACTTTATTCTTCAATAATAAGTACAGGTGGTTTTTGCCGGTTGATTAATTCCTTGGTCTTTACTCAGGGTAAGTACTGAGGGAGGAGGATTGTGTAGGTGGGATTGGGCCATGGTGTGAGTGTGGATGTTCTGAGGGCGGGAGAGTATCTCTGATTTGGAGCCTTTGCCAGTTTCCATAATGGAAGACTCCAACCACGGCCAATTTCAGGCTCTCGATATCCTGTGTTCCATGTAAAAGCTTCATGGGTCAGAAATGTCAACATTCAGCCTTCGAAAGCCAGTAGGACACAGGGCAGAGGTAGCTGGTAGGGGCCAGAACTGGGTAGATGGGAGTCGTCATCAAAGAAATGATGACCCGACCTCACATGCCTAGTAGGTCAAAAACATTTCATTGAACAAAATCTAATGGTGCCTCGTTTTCTTTCAAAAGCAGCGTTTGCATAATAACTGGTGCGCTCATGAATGCCCATTGGAAGACTGGGGAGAAAATGTAAACCCACAGGAAAAAGCATGTTTAGATGTGAAAGAAAGGCTAGTTTTTTTTTTTTCTTTAAAGCCAATTGAGTATAAAAGCGGTTGATAACTCCTAGAGTAACTGTTTGTAGTCCTTGCATTTAGAGATGGGCCACCGCTGTGCCCTTTCTCTAGCCGGAGATAATTACAACACAGTCTCACCATTCCTCCCTTCAGAAAATGATTATAATAAAATATCAAACCTGGAGGAAGCTCAGAGTCTTCAGAGATTTTCCATAACCTGTGCCTTCAGGACACAAAAACCTACATGGCCAGACAACCAGAAACAGGACTTATTTTGAAAGATTTTTCAAAGATTCACCCACTCTGTCCAGTTTTAAATGTAAAACCACATTCATAGGCAGGAAATCCTTTCCTGTATCTAACCGTGGTGTCTCATTTTTTGTGTGTTTAATTAATTCCCTTTGTCTCTTTTCTAAATGAGGGAATTATCCTCCCATCCCTAAGTATAATTAAAGATACTGAGAAACCCTATTACTTCAGATCCCACTAATTCACAAATTGTGATAATTCCAACAAGGCCTGGACTGCAAAAATAATTAGATAAGCAAATAAATGGGGTAAACAAGCCTGTAGGTCACCTTAGAGGCCTTCACTCTATACCTGCCTTCCAGTGAAGAGCTGCCTGGACCCTTTGCTGGGGAAGTGCTGTCTGGACAGACTCACCCCTTTACCAGCTCTTTTGCCATTGAAGAGAAAGGCTGTTTAGAGACCTCTGGAGATCCCTCTTTGGGAAATCTCTTTCGGAACTTTATCCCTCCACCGCCTGTAGGAGTCTGGGTCCTCACCCTGGCTGGGCCTTCCTCTGTAGCCTTGCTTCTGCCTGGAGGAAGGCCAAAAAATCCCAGGAAGTCACTTTGTAAACAGGAGCTCTTTCCCTCCATTCATGAAAGCAAATACCTGAGCGGCTTTACTGTGGGAGAGCTGGGGTGGGGACCTGGAGGCACTGCTGTGGGCAGTCAGTTGCATTTGTGTTCCAAAATTCAGGCCTTTGTGATCCTGCGAGGACTTCTGTCTTTGTTACTGTTCAGCTGTATTTTGTCAGGTTCCTTCGTTCATTGAATCATTCTTCATTGACTGCCCACTCTGGTGCCGGACCCCAAGGATATATTACATAGACAAACTATATACAGTCCTTTTAATTTCATTTAAATAAATTTTTAACAATTAAATAGTGCTCACTACTTGCGGGCACCGTGGCAAGCACATTAACAGTAATGACTCGTTTAATTTATGCTCCTCAGTGAACTCACAGAGTCGCGGAGCAAACAGCTTACAACACAGAAGATTCAGGGCGACATCCCTGAGGGAGTCAGGTGCAGTCCGGGAACATGGCGGGGCCACTCCCGCATGAGTCCTAAAGGATAATAAGGAGATTTCAGGTGAATAACTAGGGCCATTTGCAAAGCAAAATGGAAAGTTGGTGAGGCTGGAGACCTGATGTGTCCTGTGAAAGGAAAATACCTTGGGCCTCTTCACTAAGCTAAAAAGAAAACTCAAGCTGGGAACTGCTCAGGGCAAACATGCCTCCCGTTGTATTCATAGCCATCCCTCTACTCACTGAGATAGATGCATATCTGATGGCTTCCTTTGCAAAGGCTTATCAGAAACTCAAAAGAATGCAACCTTTTGTCTCTCATCTACCTGTGACCTGGAAGTCCCCTCTTGGCTTCGAGTTGTCCCTGCCTTTCTGGATGGAACCAGTGTACTTCCTACATATATTGATTGATGTCTCATGTCTCCCTAAAGTGTCTAATACTAAGCTCTGCCCCGACCACCTTGGGCACATGTCGTCTGGAGCTCCTGAGGCTGTGCAAGGGTACACATCCTCAACCTTTGCAAAATAAGCTTTCTAAAGTAACTGAGACCTGTCTCAAATTTTCAGGGTTCACAGTACCCATGAAGGAAACAGAGATGGTTGTCTAGGACTCCAAATGCTCATTTTGGTTTGGTTAGCTGGATGGAAAAAAGATAAGGCAGAAGCAGCAAGGGTGCAGCCAACTAGCTCTTAAACAAATCCAGGTGAGGAGAGATGGCAAGCTGAGAGGTTAAATGACATCAAGTGATATAAGATGGAGGTGGGAGGCCAGGTGCAGTGGCTTACGCCTGTAATCCCAGCACTTTGGGAGGCCGAGGGATCACCTGAGGTCGGGAGTTCGAGACCAGCCTGGCCAGCATGGTGAAACCCCATTTCTACTAAAAATATAAAAGTTAGCCAGGCATGGTGGCACGTGTCTGTAATCCCAGCTACTGGGGAGGCCAAGGCAGGACAATCGCTTGAATCCGGGAGGCAGAGGTTGCAGTGAGCTGAGATGGCACCATTGCACTCCAACCTGGGCAACAAGAGTGAAACTTCATCTCAAAAAAAAGAAAGAAAGAAAGAAAAAGATGGAGACTGGAGACAGGGGGCTGGAGTCCAGAGAGCCCAGGAGAGGGAGGTCGAAAGTCAGATGGGGGCAGGAACTTGGGGAGGACCTGACTGTGGGGGCCTGTGCTGGTTTCTGTGATGACTTGGACTCTGGATAGAAATCGTTATGGGTTTGCGCAGGGCTGTGTGATCTGCTTTTCATTCACATTTTTTATCGTCCTGCCTGCTATTGTGAGAGGATACTGAGGGGGCAAGGCAGAATCAAGGACACAGCCAGGAGGCAGTCACTGCTCTCTAGGTGGGAGATGACAGGGCCTGGCCTAGGGCAGGAGTGGTGAAGGGGTGGGGGTCGTGGCCAGGTGCTACACAGTCCCAATTAGTGTCAGTGGGGTTGGCTGGCAGACTTTATGTGGGATATGAGTGGTTTGACCTGAGAAACCGGAAGGTCTGGCTTCCACCCACGTAGGTGGTCGCTGCAGGAGATGCGGGCTTGTCAATTTCCAGAGTCGCCTGTGGTTGCAGCTGCCTGGTGTCACCTGCTGTGTGATTCACTCCCCTTCCCCCTTCCCTGTAGGCTGGACCTGTGAGTTCTTCTCACCAACAGAATACGGCAAAAGTGACAGGACTAAATGCTTATGCATACATGACTTATGCTTATGCATAAGACTGTAGCTCATCCTGTTGGAATATTCACTCCTGCCAGCTTTGAAGAAGCAACTTCCCATGCTGTGAGCAGCCATTATGGAAAACAGTATGGAAGTTCCTCAAAAAACTTAAAGTAGAACTACCATACGACTGACCAGTCTATCTACTGGGTATATACCCAAAGGAACTGGAATCAACATGTCAGAGAAATATCTGCACTCACATGCGCCATTATTCACATCAGCCAAGACATGGAATCGACCTAAGTGTCCAGCAAAGGATGAAAGATAAAGAAAATGTGGTGCATAGACACAAAGGAATATTATTCAGCCCTGAAAAGGAAGGAAATGCTGTCATTTGTGACAACATGAACAAACCTAGAGGACATTATGCTAATTGACATATGCTATGTGAATTAAAAATTATGCTAAGTGAAATAAGCCAGGCCCAGAATGGTAAATACCACTCAATCTCACTGGTATGTGGAATCTAAAAGTTGAACTCATAGAAGCAGAGAAGAGAGGCTGGTGCGGGTACAGGGAAAATTGGAGAGATGTTGGTCAAAGGGTACAATGTTTCAGCTAGACAGGAGAAATAAGTTAAAGATCTATTGTGCATTATGGTAACTATAGTTAATAACAATATTTTGTATGCTCGAAAATTTCTGTTAAAAGAAAAACTTTAGCCAAATTAAATTTAACCCAGTTTAGTTGAGCAAAGAACAATTCACAAATTGGGCAGCCTCCCAAGACAGAGGAGGCTCAAAGACTCCAGCGCAGCCATGGGGTGGAAGATTTATGGAGAGAAAACAGAAAGGAAGTGAGGTACACAAACAGCTGCATTGGTTACAGCATGGCATTTGCCTCCGTTGCACATGGTTTGAACAGTTGGCCCCCTTTGCTTGGCAAAAGCTCAGTGATTGGCACAAGAGTAGGCTACAGTCTGTTTACATCTCCATTTAGGTTTTAGTTCACTACGTACAGAGAAACCTTTAGGCCAAACTTAAAATATGGAAGGAGGCAGCTTTAGACTAAACTTGATTTAACATTGCTAAGAAGGTGGGTTTTAGGCATTCTCACCACACATTATATGAGGTAATGCACATGTTAATAGCTTGACTTAGTTATCACTCAGTGTACACATATGTGAAAACATCACATAATACACCATAGATATAGAGAATTTTTACTTGTCAATTAAAAATAAACAAAACAAAAGCACATTGTTTTAAGTCACTAAGTTGGTATTAATATTGTTATGAAGTGATGGATAACAAAGATGTCAGGAGAAAGACTGATTTTGTCTTGAACAGATCGAGTGTGAGCCACAAGAGATTCAAGCAGAAATGCAAGTAGGCGAATGGATGTAGGGATCTGGGCTTCAGGAGAGAGGTCTGAGCCGGCTGTATCCCTGTGGGTTCAGCAGCTGTGGAGGCACTAAAAGCCATGAGAATGCATGAGACCACCAGGAAAAAGAGATAAGAGATCTGGGGTGTTGTCCTAAGACCTTAGAGACCGGAGGAGGCCCCAGTGGGATTGGAGAAGGAAAATCCCATGTGGCAGGAGGAAAACCAGGAGGGTGGCTGCATCGGAAGCAATGGGAGGAATGGGATTTGGGGGGAAAGAGTCATCAACTCTGCCCAGCACTGCTCATAGGTCCAGGAAGAAAGGGCACCATGTCTAGGGCTCTCCATCCCTCAGTGCCACTCGCCACCCACCCCACAGTCCTGCTACAGACCTCTCATCACTCAGACCTGGAACTCCTCATGACCTCCATCTCAAACCTTCTCTTTTCTTTTCTTTGCTCTTTTCTTTTTTTTCTTTTCTCTTCTCTTCTTTTCTCATCTCTTCTCCTTTCTTTCTTCCTTCCTTCCTTCCTTCCTTCCTTCCTTACTTCCTTCCTTCCTTCCTTCCTTCCTTTCTTTCTTTCTTTTTCTTTCTTTCTTTTTTTTTCTTTCCTTTCTTTCTTTCCTTTCTTTCTTTCTTTCTTGACGGAGTCTTGCTCTGTAGCCCAGGCTGGAGTGCAGTGGCACGATCTCAGCTCACTGCAGTCTCAACCTACTGGGGTCCCACCTCAGCCTCCTGAGCAGCTGGGATCACAGGTGTGCACCACCACTCTCTGCTAATTTTGAAAAGTTTTTGTAGAAATGGGGTCTTACTATGTTGCCCAGGCTGGTCTCAGACCCCTGGGATCAAGTGATCTTCCCTCCTTGGTCTCTTAAAGTGCCAGGATTATAGGGGTGAGCCACCACACCCAGCCTCTTTTCTACACTTGCCTTCCTCCATCTCTAGCCCCTTTCCTCAGCACACCTGTCCTGCTGATCCTCAGACACGTTGACACCTACTAACACTGAACTGGCGTCTTTCTACTGCACCTTGCTCTCAGTTTCCCCTTGTCCAGCTGGAGTCATCTGTGTCTGTCTTCTGTCCCAGCATCTGTGTGGGTACACAGCTCCTGCCTCTGGGAAAGGCCAGGCCAAGTGTGCATCCCACCCCAGCCCCACACCTTCCACAGATGGGGCCGCAGCATCCATGTGTGTGCACAGCTCCTGCCTCTGGGAAAGGCCAGGCACAGAGTGCTTTCCACCCCAGCCCCTCACCTTCCACGGATGGGGCCGCAGCATCCGTGTGTGTGCACAGCTCCTGCCTCTGGGAAAGGCCAGGCACAGAGTGCTTTCCACCCCAGCCCCTCACCTTCCACGTATGGGGCCGCAGCATTGCTCCCTCTCTGCAGGGTCAGGGCATCTGACATCCTCTCCAAAAGAACACTGTGGTGTATCTTTGTGTACATTGTTGTGTACCTTATAATTGTGTATTTAATTATACTTACACTTTGGTCAGTGGAGTAGGAGTGTTGTAAATACTTTGAATAATGGTTTTCTTTAAGAATCAAGAGGGCCAGTTGCGGTGGCTCGCGCCTGAAATCCCAGCACCTTTGGGAGGCCAAGGTAGGAGATCACTTGAGGCCAGAAGTTCAAGACCAGCCTGGCCAACCTGGCGAAACCCAGTCTTTACTAAAAATACAAAAATCAGCTGGGCATGGTGGTGCACACGTGTAATCCCAGCTACTTGAGAGGCTGAGGCAGAAGAATTGCTTGAACCCAGCAGGCAGAGGTTGCAGTGAGCCAAGACCATGCCACTGCATTCCAGCCTGGGTGACAAAGAAAGACTGTGTCTCAAAAAAAAAAAAAAAAAAAAAAAGAATTAAGGATGAAGTTATGCCTGAAATTCTTCAGTTATAATAAATCAGTTCTCTTCTTTCCCATCTTGTCATTTTCTTCAGAGAACTTGTCATAATTTATAAGATGCTGGTAAATAATATAAATACGTTTGCATGTTTATTTATAGAGTCTGCACCCCCATTCGACTATAAGCTCTGTAGGTGGGGAAAGTGGCATTTTTGTCTGCTACTCTGGGCCTGGTACAGTAGGTGACACCTCGTGGATATTCCATACCTGCTTGTTGATAGAATAAGCAAGTGAATCCATGTTCTGCAGCAGTCATGAAGACCTTTGCTTGGAGATCAGCCTTCCAAAAGGGATATGGGATGAGCCAGGTGGCACTAATGACCTCCAGCTCTGCCCTGAGGCTGTTCAGAGATCTCCTGATGGATGCTGCCGGGGCCTTTATTGAAGCACAACGAGCTTTGCATGTAGTGGCGTCTGGAGGGTGTTTCAGGATCGCTCCTTTGAGCACACGGGGTGCAGCGAGGAGACTGCGGCTTCTGCTCCTGGGATGTGGGCTCCTAGGGCTTTCCACTGGCATCAGGTGGCCACACACCGATGGTAGCACTGACCAGCATAGTCTCAGCATGAGGCAGCTGGTCCGAGGTGCAGCTTAAACCTTTCTCAAGGGAGGTGCCAAGGTGCCACCACTGCTGGAGCCCAGGAAGAAGTGTGTGAATACTTTTCAGCCATGAAATGAAGGAAATCCTGTCGATTGTGATGACACGGATGGACCCCGAGGCGACTACGGAGCAGTGAGCATCCCCAGATACCGCCCAGCCTGGGAGGAAAAGGCTCTGTGGTCTATTTGCCTTATGTCATAAATAATGCTTATGACATAAACCTCCATGCCAGGCACGGTTTTCTGAAACTGGCCTCAGTCATCCCTGTCCCACATTCTCTTCTGGAAACGCCCCCTCCCCCATCAAGACGCAGCCTTGGACCACTCACCCCTTGCATTTGGGAGGGCTCATGGCTCACAGTCATGGTGGCACGAGAGGCTGAGCTACCCCAGGCAGGTGAGAGATGCTGCAGTGTCTGCCTTGTTGACAGCACGTGAGCTGTGGGCCCTGACGCCCCACGCAGACATCACTTGGCCTCTTGAACCGAGCCAGTGGGAGCCAAGGCCATGGAGAGGGCGCTCCCAGTGTCCCCCAGTGAGAGTCGGCCAGGCTGCCACGGCAACACATCACAGGCCGGGAGGCTTCAAAGATAGGAACCTGTATTCTCATAATTCTGGAGTCTGGGAGTCCAAGATAAAGGTGTCCTCAGAGTTGCTTCCTCCGGAAGCCTCTCTCTGCAGCTTCAGACGGCCGCCTTCTTGCCATGGCCTCACAGGGTCACCCCTCTGCCTGTGTCTGTGCCCTAATCTCTCCTTCCAAAGACACCAGCCAGATGGGACTAGAGTCCACCCTAGTGACCTCACCTCACCTTAATCACCTCTTTAAAGCCCCCCGTCTCCAAACAGTCCCATTCTCAGGCACTGGGGGACAGGACGTCTGCACATGGATTTGGATTTTGGGGGACATGATGCAGCCGAGCTGAGGTCCCAGACAATAGCAGCATCCTGCAGCCATGAGTGAGGTGGGCAGTTTCCTGCGGAAGACTCCAGCCCTGGCCCTGGGGCCACCAGACCCTGAGGACCAGAGAGAAGTGGTCGCTCTGTGCGTGCGGGAGCTCCTGGCTACAGAACCCGTGAGCAGAATACGGTGCATGTTTGTGACCTGTAGTTCTGGGCCCCTGGATGCTGATTATTCAGCCATGGTCACTGAAATACCCTCAGCCTGGGAGTTCTCATATTATCTCAACTAACCTTTGCGCACATCAAGGTGCCTGTCTCACGGATGAGGACACTGAGACACACAGGATTAAATAAACTGCCCAAAACACACAGTTGCTAAGTGGTGACCCGGACTTGAACCCAGTCTGGCTGACTCCCGAGCCGTTCCCCCCGTGGAGGAGGTCTCGGACAATGCCTGACTCCCGAGCCGTTCCCCCCGTGGAGGTGGTCTCGGACAATGCACAGAGACTCGGTGTGGAAGACCCGCGCCATTCCCACAGGCGTGTCCTGCTCTTTTCGGGACTGGCTGCAGAAGAGTCCCTGCCTGCAGCTCACCCAGCTCAGAGGATGCTGGTGAGGCCACGCCTCTGGCTGTTCCAGGCAGACCCAGCACCCATGTCAGGAGCAGCCAGTGTCTCCCCAGGACGGCAGATGGAGGCAAACCCTGGTGTCTGAGTGGCTTCAAATAGCTGTACACCTGGAAGCCTCAAAGTGCAGGGAACACGGCAGATGGGGGCAGGTGGATGCCCAGGAAGCTTCACCACAGTCACCTGGCTTATTTGCCCCGGCCGGGCCATTCACAAGGCTTGCTGCTGAAAAGGAGTAGGTAGGCTCTGCCCACCCAGCTTTGCACTGCAGGGCTGGCTCCAACCCACACAGGTAGGCAGCCTGGCAGAGGGGAAAAGCCAGCTCAGTCACTCTTAACCGCACTTGCCTGCTGGCTGCTGCTTCTTTTTCTTTTTCTTTTTCTTTTTTAAGAGAAATTGATTAAGCATTTTTCCTTTTTTCCCTGTTTCTGAAATATATTTGGAGGATACACTATTTCTATTCTGATACTCTCTCCTTAGAGGAAAAAAAAAGTTATTTTTCACCTATTGATGCAGCAAAACGGAACCAGAAGCAGGAGTTCCAAGCCAGCCGTGCCTTTCTCTCCACTTCCTTCCCTGGGTGCAACCACAGCGGCGTGGTAGTGACTGTGGATAGTAAGTTCCTGCATTGTGGCTCTTCTGCCCCGCGTCGAGGGCTGAGCTCCCTGCTCTGCCGATGTGCTTTGCCTCCTGGAAGCTTCAGACATGGAAGCCATGTTCTGCCAGACCAGGAGAAACCCCACTTTCATCCCACGTCTCTGGTTATCAGAGCATCAAATCCAAGTTTGACCTACATTACAGGGCAAGTCGGTCATGAGCACACACTGGACCATGACAAATTGATTGTCGTGACTTTATTGATGTCAAGGGGGATACAGTGCCACGATTAATAATTTACCCAACAGAGAAAAGCTTTTCTTGTCTCTGTGATGCCGGAGAGCCCAAGGTTTGATTGTTCCAAGTCCGAGCACTAAGGAGGGAGGTGCTCACACTTACAGCTCAGGTGAAAATCCACAGCAGAAGATTCCTGGTAGCCTCCTCTCTGCGTGCCCACAAGTCGTCGAGGCAGAAAGTGAAGTTTGTTCTCTTATAACAAACCATTTGGACAGACACTTGGTTTTTCTGTTCTCAGAATTTTTTCTGCTCTACCCAAACTAGGGGTTGGCGTTGCATAGGTACCATGGGCACTTGGGGAATGCCTGTTTCGTTTCATTACATTGAGCGGTGATAAGAAGATTCAGACACTAATTGGCATTTTCCCCTAAATCTCCATGGAAATGCAGTCTCTATTCCAGGGCACCATGTACTGCGAGGACTTTATACTCGCCCTCCGAGTGAAAGGAGAATGAAGGAATGAATACAGAGGTGGACAGGGTCATTTCTGTCCCATAACTGCATATTGTGGACATTTTTCTTTTCTGAGATGGAGTCTCGCTCTGTCACCCAGGCTGGAGTGTGGTGGCATCATCTCAGCTCACTGGAACCTTTGCTTCCCGGGTTCAAGTGATTCTCCTGCCATGACAGGCACCCACCACCATGCCCGGCTAATTTTTGTATTTTTAGTAGAGACGAGGTTTCACCGTGTTGGCCAGACTGGTCTTGATCTCCTGACCTCGTGATCCACCCACCTTGGCCTCCCAAAGTGCTGGGATTACGGGCGTGAGCCACCGTGCCCAGCCTTTTGTGGACATTTTAAACAGCAGGGAAATTAATCCTGAGCAATAAAAAATAAATAAATAAATAAATAAATCATGGTTTTTATTTGAATCTTAAAAAAACAAAACGAAACATGTTTTCACTTTTTTTTTTCCTTATCTAATTTGGCTACTGCTTCACTTTCTCTGCCACCTCTCTTACTGCAGTTTCAACTAAATGACTAAGCAAATTAGATCTTGAGTTGCTTTTCTGGAATGCGGAGAGTTGGAGAATCAGATAAAAGTCGAGGTATCTCTCTCTTCAGCAGCTTCCAGATCGGGGGCTGGAGCTGAGCGGGGGTGTTGTGCAATCCCGTACTGTTGTCGAGCAGGCTTCAGTTCAGGGAGACCAGGCAGGCTGAGGCCCAGGAGAGTGCCCCCTTGCATCTGCCCTGGGGGAAACTCTAGAAGGGGTAGAGAAAATCCGAGAAGAAAGGATATTTTTACACGGTAGGATTGTATTTTTATCCCCGGAGGCTTGCTGAACGCAAGTTTCTGGGTAAGTTACACAATACAGGAAAAGTAACTGTTTAGCGTATAGGTGATACGTGTTGGAGGCCAGAGCGCTCTGCAAAGCCCCGCCCCTGTGTGTGTTGTGTGGTCTGAAAACAAAGAGCAGGCATCACCTTCTGGAGGTGAGGCTGGCCCGGGACTCAGATGGCTCTAACTCTGCGGGTCGCCTGCCCAGAGGCTGCACTTCAGCCGGCGGGGAAGCCAGGATGGATCTTAAGTCATTCGATTCTCAGGCCATAGGTTGTTGCCAAACTGCAGCCTGGAAAAATAGTCTATTGATTTTCTGAGTCAAATAAAGTTATGTTAATGTAGAATTAAATAGATAGTCACATAGCTGTAACATCCCCAAAGATGGAAATACTACACATCAAATGTGCCTGTGGTCTCTTTGTTCATCTGTTCCTTCCTGTTCTTACTGCTATCAGAAAAAAACATACCTAGCATTGCTAAATAAGGCTTGAGAAACAAGCGTGTTTTGTAAATAGCACATCTTCGTACAAACTCATATAATATTTTCAAACCCTGAAGTCGCTTGCATTTTTCTTCGCTATTCACAGCAACTCTGCAAGATGCTCCTCACATTGGGTTTAAATTGTGACATCATATCCAAATTATGTCCCCTTGGGCAACTCAACTAAACTCTTTTCCCCGTTTCTTCATCTCTAAATTGGAATGATAATACAAGCTTCCTCAAATAAATCAAAGTGAGAATCAAACCAGCCTGGCCAACACGGTGAAATCCCGTCTCTACTAAAAATACAACACTAGCCGCGTGTGGTGGCGGGCACCTGTAATCCCAGCTACTCGGGAGGCTGAGGCAGGAGAATCACTTGAACCCAGGAGGCAGAGGTTGCAGTGAGCTGAGATCGCATCATTGCACTCCAGCCTGGGTAACCAGAGCGAAATTCTGTCTCAACAAAAATAAATACATGAAAAGTCAGGTTAGGTATGTGGGTGCTAAGAACCACATGCACATGGAACTGCTTGCCGCTGTCTCCGTTATTTACTAGAGGAAGACACTGATATGGCGCCCAAGCCTATCGCTGGTCTGACCTTTTCACACCATCACAGAGGGGATATGAGGTTGGACGTGTTCTCCCTGCCAGCCTTGCCTTCTTGCCGTCACAATCATCCCTCTAGATATGCCTGCAACAAGGACCCAGAGTCCTAGGTCTTGGCGCCTTTGCTGCCGCCTCCCTGGGAGGGGTCACCCGGCACACCGTGACCTCCTCACCTCACCCCTCTGTAGCCTTCAACCCCAACCCCCCTTCTTCGCATGACAGTCAGAGTGAAGAGAGAAAGTATGATTCAGATGTGTCTCTGCTATTCCACGCTCCCAAAGGCCTCCTCATGTCTCTGGGGGCAAAAGCCAAAGTCCTCCCACTGGCCTTCAGATGCCCCACAAACCCACCACTCCGTCCCTCTGACAACATCTCCTCCTGCTCTTCTGGATCCAGCCACCTCCTTGTGTGTCTTCAAGCTCTGCAGCCTTCACAGGGGCCCCTCCTGCCTGGAGCACTCTTGCTGTGTATCTGCGTAACTTGCCTCTCCACCTCCTCACCTCCTGTCTCCCGCTCTCCGTCCTTCTTCCTGCTGTTCCTTTCCTCCGCAGCACCATTCACCTTCTAACAGGCTGCTCCTCATGACTTCTGTATTTGGTCAGTTTCCCCAAACAAGAACGCAAACTCCACCAGGCAGAGGCTTGCACTTGTTTCGTTCTCGGTGGATCCCCCATGCCCCTGGAACAACACGTAGTGGGCATATGATCAGTATTTGTCGAATGTGTAAATAAAGAAAGGAAGTAAGGAACAAATGAATGGACACATGAAATGTGTTGCAGGCAGAAAAAAGTTAGAAAAGACAACACGACATTGCGCAGGAGTTGAGAGGAAGAAAGGAGATCTGGATTGTGATGTTTTCCCCTCCCTTACCAAAAGGCAGTTTTACCAACAAACTGAGTCAGAATAATCATTGCAGCAGAATTTGCCAGAGGTCAGGGACCTGCCGGCCAGTCTCAGTAAGATGAAACGTAGAAAATTCACTCACTATCCCCAGAGAGCACAAGGCTTAGGGTGTCCATCGGGGAGTGGCTGCTCACGGGGTCAATGGGGCCAAGAAGGAGCAGCTTAAGTAAAAATAAAGGGTATTTACTGGGGGATGCAAAGGAGATGGAACTGGGACATGGAAATCTGTCGGGGTTTTGAAGATTATTCTCTCTCTCTACAGCTGGTGTCCCCTTCTCCCTGCTGTCCCAATGCTCCCACCAAATCAGTCAACGTCATACGTAGACTTGCCCATCGTACAGCTCACCCTGTGGCACAGCAGGGCCTGCACGTGCCCTAGTGCAGGACGCCAAGTCACCCAGTGCTGATTCCTGATTTCTAGGACAGAAGATCCACTGGCTCACAATGGCTTAGGTGTCCACCTGGATCATGGCCCTAGCCAGGCAGTTGAGGCCCAGGACAGCCAGGGCACTCCTGAGAGGCTGTCTCTGGAGAACTATCTGGGGGTCTGGGGGACTCAGGGCTGGACGGACTCCCAGAAACATTCTCATCCAGAGCTGGGACAGGAATACCTCCAGCATCCGTAGCTCCCATGGACAATGTGATGCCCTTTTAAAGCAGCAAGTACATGGCACTGGGTGCCATGGGCATGGGAATGATAAGGACCGTGGGGTGGAGCAGAGAAATTGGTTTTACATTGTAGCTGTGGACAACACTGTTATTTTGTATTATTTGTTGTACTTAACATGATTCTGTACAAAGAATGCTCGAAAGGAGAAAAGACAGAGGAAGTTCAGTAAATTAGAGGGAAGTTCCCTGCTGTGCCATGGAGCAATATTTATAATCTGGGCCCTTTAGGGAAGGGATTACTGGCACAGAGATTACAACGGCGCTGTAAGAAGAGATTCCAGACCAGTTTTGTAATTTATTTCACTTTCATGAAACCCCCCACAAATCAGAAAAGCTCTGTAAGTAGAGACTTCTCTGAAGGGAACATCCAAGGGAAGAAGCTCCTCCCCTCTTGAAGAGGTGGTGGAGGGACCTCGGGAGGGTGGAATTCAAAGCAGTTAAGCAATCGTCATTGAACGCGTGGCCCCTGAGCACGCTGGCTGCAGGGCTGGTTCCCTCACCTCGCTGCTCCCTGGCATCCGACCTGTGAGATGGTAACAGTGGCATCTACCAAATAGGACTGTAGTGAGAACCGCTACGAGTCTCTAATGCACAGCAAGGTTTATGTGAATATTAGCCATTTTTACTATTGCTCTGATTCCTGGGGAGTAGCTGAAAGTCAGTGCACTCAAGCCCCTGAAGTGCCGTCTTCTTGTCACCATCATGATTTTCTCTTTTAGCCATACTTGTTCATTATTGGTGCTATACATGAATCAATTTTTTTCTTTAAATAGCATGATTTGTGTGTATGTTGTGTATTTATTGTATCCACTAAAGTGAACACATAAATATTAAAATAAAAATATGCATTTAGATGCCATTGAATTAATCTCTGGGCACACCACTATTTGGGGCACACTGTCCTACAAAATGCGTATGGTTCTGTATCTATAGAACAAATTATCACTGTCCCCAAGGCATAACCACTGCCTGCAGAGGTCCTCACTGATGGTGGAGTTTGCTCTGATGCTCTGGCCTGGTCACTGCAGCTTTCTATGTCTGATTCACGTCTTTCTTTTTGGCACTGTCTCCCACTAGCACTACACCAGATTCCTGTAATTCAGTTAAACTGGTGAGCAGACCATGCAACCAGCTTCTGCGACTCAGGCTGTTTCCCGGAATGCAGCATCCGTCCTGCAGTGTCCTTCTTCACTGTCTTTTTTTATCTTCACAAAACTTCTTGCAAACAAAATCCTATTTTTTTTTAATTTTTATTTGAGACAGAGTCTTGCTCTGTCACCCAGGCTGGAGTGCAGTGCTGCGATCCCAGCTTATCACAAGCTCCATCTCCCGGGTTCAAGCAATTCTCCTGCCTCAGCCTCCTGAGTAGCTAAGATTACAGGCACCTGCCACCACATCTGGCTAATTTTTGTATTTTTAGTAGAGATGAGGTTTCACTATGTTGCCCAGGCTGGTCTCAAACTCTTAGCCTCAAGTGATCCACCCATCTCGGCCTCCCAAAGTGCTGGAATTACAGGCGTGAGCCACCATGCCCAGCCTGAATCCTATTTATTTAATTGATTTACAAACAATTTTCAGAAATGAAAATTTCAAATTGACTTTTAACTGGTAATTTCTTTTAAAATCTGAATCTAGGCCAGGCACAGTGGCTCACGCCTGTAATCCCAGCACTTTGGGAGGCTGAGGTAGGTGGATCATGAGGTCAGGAGGTCGAGACCATCCTGGCTAACATGGTGAAACCCCGTCTCTACTTTAAATACAAAAAAATTAGCTGGGCTTGACGGCAGGCGCCTGTAGTCCCAGCTACTTGGGAGGCTGAGGCAGGAGAATGGCCTGAACCCAGGAGGCGGAGTTTGCAGTGAGCCGAGATCGCACCACTGCACGCCAGCCTGGGTGACAGAGTGAGACTCCATCTCAAAAAAATAAAATAAAATCTGAATCTGTAAGTTTCTTCACCCTTTCCTTTTGTCAAGAAGTTAGTGATCTGTTGCAAACTACAATAACATAACTACTTAATATACCTAGAAGAAATACAAAGAAATATGTAGGCATTATGCCAATAGATTCAACAATTTTAGATAAAATTGAGAAATTACTTGAAAGACACGTTATCAAAAACTGACACAAGAAGTAATAGAAACTATGACTAGCTCTAGATTTATTTTTTAAATTGGCTTCTTAATTTAAAATTTTTGATGAAGAAGAGTCCAGACCTAGATTGATTTATCAGTGGGTTCTGTAAAAACTTTGAGAAGAAACAATACCAGTTTTATGTAAGCTCTTTCAAAAAGTTGTGGAAAATCTTGTAAAGGGGATTACTTTTGAACCTATTTTATTAATTAATTATCTTTATAAAAAGATTAGATAAAGAAGATAGAAATGCCATTGATTAATATTCCTTACAATGTACCTGAAAATTTATTCATAAAATATTTGCAAATCAAATCCAATAATATGTAAAAAAAGACAATCCCTCATGACCAAGTGGGATTAATCCCAACAATGCAAGGTTGGTTCATTTGTCAAAAATTAGTGTATTTCACCATATCAATAGAAAACAGGGCTGGGCGTGGTGGCTCACGCCTGTAATCCCAGCACTTTGAGAGGCCGAGGCGGGTGGATCATGAGGTCAGGAGATCAAGACCATCCTGGCTAACACGGTGAAACCCTGTCTCTACTAAAAATACAAAAAATTAGCCAGGCGTGGTGGCGGGTGCCTGTAGTCCCAGCTACTGGGGAGGCTGAGGTAGGAGAATAGCCTGAATCCAGGAGGCGGAACTCGCAGTGAGCAAGATTGCGCCACTGCACTCCAACCTGGGCGACAGAGTGGGACTTTGTCTCAAAAAAAAAAAAAAAGAAGAAGAAAAAAGATAAGCATCATATGATTGTCTCAATTGATAAAGAAAAAGCAATCGACACAATTTAACATCAATTTGTAATCATCACAATCAACAAACTAAGAAGAAAAGGAAACATTTCAATATGATGAAGGATATCTATGAAAAACCTGCAGCTAACGTCATATCTACTGTCTAATATTGAATTATTTTCTCATATGATCAAGAGTGAGTCAAGAAAAATTGCTCTCAGTCCTTTTATTCAACATCTAATGGTGGTCTTAGGCTGTGCAAAGAGACAAGAAAAACAAAATAAAAGGGAAACAGGTTGGGAAGGAAGAAGTACAACTGTATTTAGCCACAGCCAACATACTGTTTGCAGAGATAATTCTAGGAATTCTTTTTAAAAAGATGTTCAATCTAATAAATAAATACTTTTACAAGCTCACAGGATAGATTAATATTCAATATTAATTACATTTCTATACACTAGCAACAAACAATAGAAATACATTTGTTTTAATGCCATTAGCAATAACATCCAAAAAAGTAAAATATTTAAGGATAAATTTAACAACGTGTGTAAGATCTTATACTGAAAACCATAAAATGTTGTTTGAAAAATTATAGGGGCCCTAAATAAATGAAGAGTTATACTAGGTTCATAGATTAGAGAATTCAATATTTCAAAGATGCTATCATCCCCAAAATTGATCTATAGATTTAAAACAATTTCAATTAAAGCCCCACCAAGACTTTTTGTAGGCTTAGACAAGCTTAACCTAAAATTTCCATGGAAACAAAAAAAAATCCTGGAGTAGCCAAGATAATTCTGAAAAAGAAAAACAGGGCTGCAGGATTTAACCTGCCCAAATGTGATGCTTACTATAAAGAAAGCTGGCCCGGCGTGGTGGCTCACGCCTGTAATCCCAGCATTCTGGGAGGCTGAGGCGGGCGGATCACAAGGTCAGGAGATCAAGACCATCCTGGCTAACATGGTGAAACCCCATCTCTACTAAAAAAAATAGAAAAAATTAGCCAGACATGGTGACAGGCGCCTGTAGTCCCAGCTACTTGGGAGGCTGAGGCAGGAGAATGGTGTGAACCCGGGAGGCGGAGGTTGCCGTGAGCCGAAATCACGCCACTGCACTCCAGCCTGGGCAACAGAGCGAGACTCTGTCTCAAAAAAAAAAAAAAAAAAGAAAGAAAAAGAAAAAGAAAGCTACAGTAATTGACTATGCGACACTAATGTCACATAATCAATGACACTAAGATAGACATTTTGATAGTGAAACTGATAGAAAATTTATAAGTAGAGCCACATATGTATGACTGATTGATAATTTGAGAAACGTGCTAAATTAATTCAGTGGAGAAAGACACTCTTTTCAGCAAGTTGTGCTGGAATAATTGGATAACAAGTGAAAAAAAGGGAACCTCAACTCTTACCTCACATTATACACAAATGAATATCATAACATAAAACCTAAAATTATTAAACTTTAAAAGCACACCTAGGAGAAATGAGTTGCTGTAACTCAATCTAACTCAGTCCTAGGCGAAGATTTTATGGGCAAGATGCAAGAGAGAAAAACATAAAATTTTAAAAAAACGGATGAGTTGATCTTTATAAAAATTTACAACCTTTGCATTATTAAGACATGAAAACACAGGCACAGATACAGAGAATATTCATAATACATAGGTCCTACCATCAGAAACGGCAAGAGATGTGATCAGACAGATGCTTCACCCCAAGAAGACACAAGTGACCAGGAAGCTCAAGAAGATGCTCATTGCCGTCAGTCACTGGACAGCTGCAAGTCAAAACCGCCATGGGAAAGCATCCTCACCCATCACGGTGGCCCAAGACCAACATTAACTGCAAACGGGCCGGGCGCGGTGGCTCATGCCTGTAATCCCAGCACTTTGGGAGGCCAAGGTGCGCGGATCACCTGAGAGTTTCAGACCAGTCTGACCAACATGGCGAAACCCCATCCCTACTAAAAACACAAAAACTAGCCCAGCGTGATTGTGCACGCCTGTAATCCTAGCTACTTGGGAGGCTGAGACAGGAGAATTGCTTGAACCAGGGAGGTGGAGGTTGTAATAAGCCAAAATCGCACCACTGCATTCCAGTCTGGGTAACAGAACGAGACTCTGTCTCAAAAAAAAAAAAGCAAATGAAGATACAAGTGCAGGTGTGCACCTGGAGCAAGCACAGCCACTTTGCAAACCAGATTAGCAATTCCTTATAAAGCTAAACACACAATTACTATATGAAGTTAGATACACGCTTGCCAAAGTGCTAGAGCTCCAAACCGGAAACAGCCTAAATATCCATCAACCCGTGAATGCATGAACTAATTGTGACACCTGTAGAGTGGACTGCTTCTCATTAATTAAAATAAACAACAAACAAACAAACCACTGATGACATGCAACAACATGATCAGAGGCCAGAGCATTTCAACCGAGTGAAAGAAGACAGACACAGGAGGCCACAGCCTGTGATTTGTGTATATGAAATTCTAGCTGAGGCCAAACTCATCGAGTGTGATGCAAAGCAGTGAGTGGGTGTCTGGGGCAGACAAAAGCAGAAGATGAACTAGAGAGAGTCACCAAGCACCTGAAGGGCAATGTAAACGTTCCAGATCTTGATAAACCGTGCACCTAAAATGGATGCATTTTGCTACACCTCGATCACATCTCAACAAAGTTGTTGTATAAATTCAGGGGCAAGTCTGAGAGCTCTTGGGAGCAGAGAATACCCATTCCTACGGCAGGTGCACTTGGGAGACGGCAGGACAAGCTGAAGGTACCACTGAATTCTTAAAGCAGAGGAGCAAACTCAGGCTCAGTGGGGACAGGGTTTGCCCAGTGTTTCTGGGCTAGGACACAGCAGAGCAGAGATTTAGTTTTGTTCGTTCTGATTCCAAAGCTCCCTGGAGCTGAGCAGGGTGATTTTTTGCTGGTGTTTGAATCAGCACAGACACAGTAACAGAGTAAGTTCACCAAGCAACAGATGTCACCCTTAGTTTCCATAGGAGCAATTTTGTGCATGTGTGTGCTGTGTGTGTGCATGCATGTGTATGTGTGCACATGTATATATGTGTACATATATGTATGAATGTATATGTGTGCATATGTGTGTATATGCATCAGTGTGCACTTTTACATACATTCTATATAATATATTATATAAATATATAGATCATTATTTGGTTAAGTCAGACCACCAACATTCAAGTCAAGTAAAGAATTCTGTGGGGTAAATAAATAAATTCTACCGACTCCATTTCCCAAGTGGATGTTGTAGATCTCCTTAAATCAAGGCAAACCACTGCCTGCATAGCAGATACTGACTGATTCAGCAACACAAACAGGACTTGAGTCATAGACATAGAGTCTCTAAGGAGTATAACCTGCCACTCTACATTTTTGAAAACAGATCTTTTCAGAATCAACTTCCATAGTCATCCTGAAGTTCAGCTCATCCATTGGACCATGAACAACTGTCAATACAAGGAGCCAAGTAGTCTAGATGTTCTTCAAAACAGCAGATACGGCTGTGCGCCGTGGCTCATGCCTGTAATCTTAGCATTTTGAAAGGCCGAGGCAGGCAGATCACTCAAGCTCAGGAGTGCAAGACCAGCCTGGGCAGCATGGCGAAACTCCATCTCTACAAAAAAATGCAAAAATTCACCAGGCATGGTGACGTGCACCTTTAGTCCCAGCTACTCAGGAGGTTGAGGTGGGAGGATTGCTTTAACCCTGGAGTTGGAGGTTGCAGTGAGCCGAGATTGCACCACTGCACTCCAGCCTGGGTGACAGAGTAAGACTCGGTGGGTTTTTTGTTAGGGTCACACATATAAGCTTGGGGGACACAGGCATTCAGAGCATAGCAAGCCCCCTTTTCCGTCTCTTCTCAAATACCTTGGACCTGTCTGAATTATTTCCATTTCTCAAATGTGATTTTCCACCCCCACATCCCCAACTTGTCCTTAGGTCCTTGCCTCTGCCTGGGAAATGCTGAGTTCACTTTTCCCCTTATCTAACCTTACTCCTCCTTCTGGGCCAGTTAAAATCCTGCCTCTTCTATGAGGCATCCCCTTGAGGCCTCCCTGCCTCACCTGAGTGAATTCGTCCTCTGCCTCTTCTCTGAGCTCCTGAGCAGTTAGACGGTGCTTTCTCAGCTTTCTCCTCACCTCCTTTTGTGTGTGGACACAGAGACCTGCTGCCAGAGCCCACCCTTCCAGGAAAGAGTGGGGTCGTCACACATTGCTCAGCCCACCCGGCCTTACACCCCCAGGGCAGCCCCTGGTGACCCAGGACCACCCAGGGGAGGACACCTGACAGTTGGACTTCCTGCTCTCACTCCTTCCCCTCACAGGTATTGATGGCTAATACGTGCCCTGCACCCCAAATGTGCACCCCATTACACACCTTACAACCCAAATGTGCACCCCTAATACATACCTTACACCCCAAATGTGCACCCCATTATACACCTGGTACCTCAAATGTGCACCCCATTACACACCTTACACCCCAAATGTGCATCCCAGTACACACCTTACACCCCAAATGGGCACCCCATATACACGCTTTACACCCCAAATGTGCACCCCATTACACACCTTACACCCCATATGTGCACCCCTAATACATACCTTATACCCAAATATGCACCCCATTACACAGCTGGTACCTCAAATGTGCACCCCATTACACACCTTACACCCCAAATGTGCACCCATTACACACCTTACACCCCAAATGCACACCCCTAATACATACCTTACACACAAATATGCACCCCATTACACATCTGGTACCTCAAATGTACACACCTGGTACCTCATATGTGCACCCCAGTACACAATTTATACTCCAAATGTGCACCCCTAATACATACCTTACACCCCAAATGTGCACCCCATTACACACCTTACACCTAAATGGGAACCCCTAATACACACCTTGCACCCCAAATGGGCACCCCAATACATTCATTACACACAAATGGGCACCCCATTACACAACTTGCACCTTAAATGTGTACTCGTAATACACACTCTGTACTCCAAATGTGCACCTAATACCTCACACCCCAATGTGCACCCCTAATCCACACCTTACACCCAAATGTGCACCATTGCACACCTTACACCCCAATGTGCACCGTTACACACCTTACACCCCAAATGTGCACCATTATCCACCTTACACCCCAAATGTGCACCCCATTACACACCTTACACTCCAATGTGCACCGTTACACACCTTACATCCCAAATGTGCACCCCATTACACACCTTGCACCCCAATATGCACCGTTACAAACCCTACACCCCAAATGTGCACCGTTATCCACCTTACACCCCCAAATGTGCAGCCATTACACACTTTACATCCCAAAGTTCACCATTACACACCTTACACCCCAAATGTGCATTATCCACCTTACACCCCAAATGGGCACCCCATTACACACCTTACACCCCAATGTACACCGTTACACACCTTACGCCCCAAATGTGCACCATTATCCACCTTACACCCAAATGTGCACCATTACACACCTTGCACCCCAATGTGCACCCCATTACACACCTTGTATCTTGATGCCTAATACACACCTTGTCTCAGTGTTGGCTACCAGAGAGCCCAACCCAGGACAATCACAAAAAATTGAATTTCAAGCCCTGGGCAGACCCACGACGCTGGAACAGCTTCTCACACACAGCACATAGCAGGTGCTCAAAGGCTGTATTTGAGGCATGAGTATCTTTGAACAAGGTCTGAGATAGATCTACCATATATACTAAATTCTATTCTTCAGTGAATGTGTAAGTAGGTAAATAGGAGTAATAATTTACGATAAGCTGTTCCATGACCCACCTAACAGTGTCAGCCCTATGTTACTGGTGATGAATGTGGAAACATTGTAAATGACCTCAAAATATCAACTGTATGTGCATAGTTAGGAATAAATTAAAGTGATATATAATGCCCTCTGCCATAGTCCACTGTTGTTATTGTTTGAGGTTCACTTAAGATGTTAGTACTTTAAGAACTCAATTCAAGAAGCCACTGGGGATTTATCAAGAGGCAGAGTTTAGAAACAACTTAATGGTGTCCCTGAATGCGTGACACCTCCCAGGCGATGCACACAGCTCTTGATTTGTTTGCCAGGAATTCTGAGTGAGCTCAGAGGTCTTCATCCCTGTCACCAGCAATTGCAGCTTTGCTATCGCAGGATCCAGCCTGTGTTAACATGTTAAATCCCCGAGAAGGCCAAGGACGTGGCTGCCTTGCGACCTGGCTGCTCCTGACACAATATCTTCTGTCTGAATAGATTTTCCTGCGAATGTCCCTGGAGACCATGAGCCCTGAAAGCAGCCACTCTCCTTGTACACAGCAGCCTGATGTTCACGCCATCAAAATCACATCGGGGCAGAAGATGTGATAAATTAATGCCACCTAATTTAATGCCATTTTAAAAATACCATCTTTATATTTCTTGCCTTTAATTTAAAAAAAATCTATTTTTGGTCTTTGATGATGGTGACGTACAGAAGGGTTTTTGGTGTGGTTGTCCTTTCTGTTTGTTCATTCTCCTTCTAACAGACAGGACCCTCAGCTGCAGGTCTGCACACGTATGTTTATTACGACACTATTCACAATAGCAAAGACTTGGAACCAACCCAAATGTCCAACAACGATAGACTGGGTTAAGAAAATGTGGCACATATACACCATGGAATACTATGCAACCATAAAAAATGAAGAGTTCATGTCCTTTGTAGGGACATGGATGAAACTGGAAACCATCATTCTCAACAAACTATCACAAGGACAAAAAACCAAACACCGCATGTTCTCACTCATAGGTGAGAACACATGGACACAGGAACAGTGAGAACACATGGACACAGGAAGGGGAACATCACACTCCGGGGACTGTTGTGGGGTGGGGGCAGCGGGGAGGGATAGCATTAGGAGATATACCTAATGCTAAATGACGAGTTGATGGGTGCAGCACACCAACTTGACACATGTATACGTATGTAACAAACCTGCACATTGTGCACATGTACCCTAAAACTTAAAGTACAATAATAATAAAATAATAATAATAATAATAATAATGCCATCACAGAAGTTTTCAGCAATTAACAAAGGAGATTGCGGTGGGTTTCAGCAGGGCAGGCTAAAAAGTGCTTATGCCATTCCCTGAGTCATTGATGAGTCTGCAGGCCACCGCCACCCAGGGAAAATGCTATTAAGAACTCAGGAGTGGAGGGGGAAGGCTGCAAGTCACAAGCTTCCACTAATTGCCATCCTCTTGATTTGATTTTCTCTAAACTTTAAGTTAGGATGACAGCCCACTGGAAAAATCACAAGGTGCTTTCCATTTGTAACCTTTACATAAGAAGGATCTTAACATGTGAAAAATTTTAGGAAAACTGCAATTAAGGAGGCCTGAACTCAGAAAGGAAGAGAGAAATAAAGAGAGCATCCTCAGCGGCAAAATGTCAAGCATGTGGGTTCTGCAGTGGAACAGGCTTTTGTCTCTTACAGACTAGGCCTATAATTAAGAGATTGGGGTGTGAGCCCAGGCGGCTGCGATTAGCAAGTGTGACTGCCTGTTGCTGTTACCCATAACATCTCTGCAGCTTCATCCAAACAAGTACAGAGGGCTAATCACATTAACACTAATAATAGTAATAGAGTTAAGAGAACAGACACAAAGCAACAGATAAACAGTCCCTTCTTCCCCACCTAATAGCACCTCTCTTTTCCTTTCCTTCTCCTTGGCTCCGAGTTCTGATTTGAGACCCGGCCCCGCATTTTCACGGTGGCATCAGTGGTCAGCTGTGGCGCAGGGGTGGCTCTGAACAGCTCTGCCCTGGGCTGCGTCTCTGCCAGCCATGACTCAGGTAGTGCCACACAGCAGTGAAGCATTTGATCTTTTCTACTGGCTCTTTCATTTGCAGAAGGGGCAGGGAACACACAAAATGAAAAGCGTGTCTTGGAGCAAGAGGCCGTGACAAGGGAATGAAACCAAGAAGCCCGCAGGTCACACAGCAGGCAGGCGGCTGCTTCCCGTGGGTGTGCAGAGCTGATGTGCAGAGACGTATTGATCCTCCGTGCTCTGTCTCACCGGCGAGGCAGTCACGGTCTGCATATTAACACACAGCCTCAGCTGCCTCCAGTGGACGGCAACATTTTGGTCCCAGAACACTGAGAGCAAGGGTAGTATCTGGTTAAGATAAAGGAAACTGCATCGGCCTCGATTGTACCCAGCAAGAATTGAGGTAAAGTTTCTGAAACTTAATTCCATGGAATCCCGAGAGACCAATTGAAACCAAAATCTGTAAACAGACTGGTTGCCACCAGTTAAAGTGATTGTCTCCATATATTGGCAAAATTAAAGAAAAAATGTGTTTGCATTTTCTGTTGAATAAAACACGTCGTGATATTCAATTCAGATCTTTTTTGCCTCTTAATATATTTTAAGGAATAAAAAAAGAGAAAATCTTAAGTGGATTTCTTTAATTCATGGAGATTTTTTTCCTCCATAACTCACAAAGTTTGTGTTTCTGGAAAACATGATTTGCGTACAGTCATTTCCAGCTATAGGTGTGACCGGCAATGTTAACAACATAATTATATGGCGCAACAGAATTTCAATAACTCAGTACAATTCAGTAACGCATGCACCCGGTGTTTACCTGATAGAACCAGATCCTCTCCCATCACACATTAATGGGTGTTCTTTTGGTCTGGGTGGGGCAGCTAAATACACATTTGAGGACAATGACTGTCTCTGCAAAACTTCAAAATACTCTTGGCATTCGTTATTTTGACAACAGCAAGTGGCATGGTTTGAACCAGTTTTTCTTTTGACAACTGGAGGACTGACATTAGTTGTTTCTAACTGAAAATAAAAGTCAATTCCTTGAGGCAAGTTTCTGCAAATTTAATGTAATCTCCTGGCATATGCTTTGTAATCCCTCCAGCCAATCGGTGATAGTGGTGACACCTAGGGAGGGCTAGGGTGCTTAGGCCACAGCTAATTCTGGATGAAACTGAAAGAGAAGGCTAAAGAGCAAAGGCTAGGAATGATGGGATTCTAGATGACAGGTGTGTCCTGTGCAGGCAGAGCTTAGAGCTGCTGTGGACAGGTGAAGCTAAGACAGACAGAAACCAGGGGCACCATCCATTGCGAGACGCTGCAGGGACAGAATCAAGGACACCGGATTGGGTGGGGTGGCTATGGTTATGCATCATTCCCAATGGCCAAGGATGGTGACTTGATGGCCAGGTAGAGAAGCAAGCAGTGGGTGCAGGTGGGCCATGGCCACGAAGGTCAAGGTCAAGGACAAAGTGGGGTGGGGGCTAGTGGAAATGGCACTGCCTGGAGCAAGCCCTTCCTTGGGTATCGTTAAAAACTCACAGCTGCAACAGAGAGTGACATAAAACCCTGACTGATTGAATATTTTTGTTCTATATAGTTTGTGGTGTTTAGTCACAGACTGAAAGCAGACACCCAGGCTGGACTACCACAGACTACGATGCGTGCATCCTGGTGTCTCTGTCTGCATCTGTATATTGGAGTAAAGGGTGAATCAGGGACACATACCACTAAAAATATATGAAAAAGAAAAGAAAATATCAGTAGCAAGAGATGCTGTCTTTCAATGGAAAAAGCCAGAAAGTTCCCTTGAAAAGAAACTTGAGATCAATATCTCTTAAAATGTCGTATTGCTAATACGTGCCCAGTATCACTTCAAGTATGTACTGTAGTGCAGTTTTCAAGGCCCTAGGATGTAGCAAACCGTACTTGTTGGGAAGTGTGCCCCAATGTCCATTGTTCACTACTGGCCATAGTGAGCTTTTTGCAGTTGAAAACTCTGCCTTGGTCCACCACACGGATGCTGTGAGGGCAAAACTCAGGCTCAACGGAATTTTCCCGACTTCATCAGGCTTAACCTCAAACCAACTCACTCAAAGGAGATCATTTACAAACTATGCTCCAGGGCTCTCAGGTGCTCCACGGTGGGCCTGGGGGATATTTCGGGGTCTGCATACATGTAGAAGGGGACAGGTTGCGGGGAGAGGAGGAGCTGGCTGGGTTCCAGGGCCCATCAGCATGACCCCTGTCACGTAATTTAGATATTACACTTTTTGGTAAGATTGATGTGAAAGAAAGAGTTTTGTAGCTTCAAAAACATTTGAAAATGTGTTCTAACCTTCAGCCATTGTTTTCTCTTAGACTCAGTCCCTCCTTGGGTAGTATTGGGTTGGTTTTCTATTGCCTTAGGGGAAATTTTTAATGATCAGATCAATTTTTCTGCATCTTCCATTAAATTGATCATACAATTAGAGGTCAACATGGACAGTGGTCAGACTGAGTTTATTTGAGGCTTGAATGATAAGTTATTTAAATTTATTTTGCTGTTTTCAGCCCTACTCTCTAATGTAACCAGTGTTAACAAGGGATGGTGGTGCTTTGAATGAATGTACTTACCCCCAAAAATTACCGATCCACAAAATAAAAATTAACAAAGATATAAATGCACACACTTTTTAAAATTGTACTTAGATATGAAATTCAGCTGAAGTTTAAAATAAGAGCAGCTGATGTAAAATGTAATTCAATACATAGAATGGATATTGTACTCACTTCTGTTCCATGTTATTAGGCTTAAAGGTATTTCAGAGAAAATAGTTCAAGAAATAAACTAAAGACAGAAAACAAAGGGTAAGAGGGAGAGGTGAGATAGAAAGAAAGAAGTGAAGGAAAATAAAGGCTCAGGAAATTCAGAGATGAATGTTACTTTCAATATCCTGCTGTTCACTGGGGCATTGGTGTCAGAGTGACTTATCATCTGTTGTCGTGGAACTTTGACAGGTCAATTCATCACCATCTAACAAGGCTCCTGAACTTCTTTTAGGAGCCTGGAGAGGTTCAGCTCTGAATGGTATGCCAGGAGTAGCCCCCTTGGTAGAAAAACTGTATTTTTGGAAGCTGCTTGGATGAAAAACTCTGTCCCCGGGTACACCAGCTTAAGATCTGACCAGGGATGAATTCTAATACCTGGGAAAAAAAGGTTCCTGTTTTAAGAAAAGGCTCAGCTTATTTCTACATAGACTTTAAATTATTTCTAAATGGGTTATCTAAGGTATTGTGTACTAACAAACAGTTTGTTCTCTAAATAGTTAAAACATTTTCCTGGCTTAGAAGTTTTTGTTTACTTAGCAAGTGCTTTGATTATAGGTACTAGGAAGGTCGGTACAATGTAGTCTCAATCTCTGTTATTGCAAATTCTGATTGAATATACTGAGAATGATTCAGTGTTTAGAATATGGTAAATGGCTCACTGTTGCTCAAGATCTACAGAGTTGCTGCACTATCTGCATGCCCAGAATGCACCGTCTCCCCTTGTGTTTTGTCTTGGTCCATAGAGGTTGATATTTGGGTACCTTTCATTTTCCTCTTCTTCATGGCCCATGTCTTCATGGCCTTGCTATCTGGAAATATCAAGAATGATACACGTAGATGGATGCAAACTAACTTTTCCATGATACCTCACCTGGAGAAAACCATTGGAAATCATTGTGTCCTCCCATGTGAAGGGGAGAAAAGTTTGAAGAACATTGACAGGGTCCAGAAAAGAAGGAAAACATTAAAAACTAAAAAAGTAGATAAAGTATAATTAAATATGATGACTGATTATGGTTAAACCTGGGAGGTAAAGAGGTAAAGACGGGGTTGTTATTTCTAGTATCTAAAATATTTTAGAGAAGAAGTTGGACGTTGTGATGCCATGCAAAGGACCAAACCTCCTTCTTGAACTGCAGCAGGAGAGAGTCTGGGTAAGCACAGGAGGAGATGCTTAAAAAGCCAGGAGAAGTGAAATAGATCATACAATTCAGCCTCTTTTTTGTTTTTCCTGAGACATGGTCTCGTTCTGTTTTTCAGGCTGCAATGCAGTGGTGCAATCTCAGCTCACTGCAACCTCCCCCTCCTGGGTTCAAGTGATTCTCCTGCCTCAGCCTCCGGAGTAGCTGGGATTGCTGGCGCGCCACCACACCCTGCTAATTTTTGTATTATTAGTAGAGATAGGGTTTCATCATGTTGGTCAGGCTGGTCTCAAACTCCTGACCTCAAGTGATCCACCAAGGCCTCAAAACAGCCTTTTAAAGCCTCTAAATTAGGATTTAAAAATGACACAGAGACCTAGATGACAGCAGCTTCTTCATGCTCCTTCTAGGTTTGCCATTTTTATTATTTATGAGTTGTATGTGATTATTTCCAAACAAAGGGATATGAGGGGTTTGTTCTTTGCCAATATAGGGTTTTTGATGACTACAAAGGAATTGAGATTAGTGGGATTCAAATTCTGTAAAAGTCACTACCTCCCTGGGTATCGTTAACACTTCCCTATCACATATGTGTTAGGATGAGTGTTTAAAGAGGATGCTAGATTTGGTAGACATGCATTGCTTTTGCCTTTTTAGCCTTCATCCCTCCCTTTGCTGGCAGTCAGAGCTGCTGCTTCTTCACCCTTGCTCCATGGGCTTTGGACATGTCTAATTCCAGCTTACTTCCAAGACTCTGCATGTAACTAAGAGCTCATTCTCTTGGGCATATGGTACAACCCATTGCTATTCTACTAACTATCATGGCTTTCGCAGGGACAATCAGGGGATGAGCATTCTCTCATGGGGCTGCCAAGTGACTGTCTGAATCTTCTGGTAGCCGTCTCTCTACTAGGATATCAGACCAAAGAACTAATCTACTCAGAAGAAAGAGATAGGAAGATTGATCTATTCCCAGTAACACCATTTGAGCCCTTAGAGTCAGTTGTGACTGAAAACAATTCTACTCCTGAAATTGGTAGCTTCTACATCTATCTATCTCCTACCCAGGTTTTTTTGTTTGTTTTGCTTTTATGTGCTTCTATCAATTTAAGCTGGATTTTTTATCATTTGTGTTGGATATTCTTAATAAACAGACTGCATTTCAAAAGAAATCCTAGTATATTTTAAAGTATACTTTTTAAATGCTAGGATGGCTAAAAGAATCTATAAATCAACTCATTAGACAAATAGGTGAAAAAACTGGGCATCTTTGGTTTAGGAAAGAAAGGATCGGCCAAGCATGGTGGCTTACGCCTATAATCCCAGTACTTTGGGAGGCCAAAGCAGGTGGATCACGAGGTCAAGAGATCAAGACCATCCTGGCCAACACAGTGAAACTCCCAACTCTACTAAAACTACAAAAATTAGCCGGGCATGGTGGCACACAGCTGTAGTCCCAGCTACTCGGGAGGCTGAGGCAGAAGAATCGTTTGAACCTGGGAGGTAGAGGTTGCAGTGAGCTGAGATTGCACCATTGCACTCTAGCCTGACAGCAGAGGGATACTTCTTCTAAAAAAAGAAAAAGAGATGATCAGAGTACACATGTTGTCCTCAGCTATTTTAAGCGGTGTTATCTAGAAGAGGGAGAAGACGTGCTGTGGAGCCCCCAGTCATGTGTAGTAACATCACTAGAGTGATTCAGGTAAGACCTGGTGACAGGGAGTGTTGCCAAGGAAGAGATGCCTTCTCAGGGCAGCATTAAGGGCTAAACAGCTCTAAAGTATTTTGAAATTGACCAGCCTGACTCAATAATTTGAGCTGAGAATTCCACTGTGATGCTTCATGCTAACAATATCATCTACAAGGATGGCTTACCAAGAAAACTCAAACTCACTCCGCAGGGGTGAAGATGGGGGAGGAAGAGGTTAAAGGCCAAGTGAGAAAAGATTGAATTTTGAACAGTTTTCTGAAATGCTGCCATTGATTTATTAGTTATATCTGGGAGTAATTTACATCCAACCCAATTTCCCCATGGCTTAAAGCCACTCAAGAAAGTTCACATACCTGTTACACAAACTGTTGCATTCTAAAGTCATAGGCGATGCTTGTTGAGAAGTCCACAGAAGTGATAGCAACTACATAAAATAATGTCCACCAGAGAGTTGAATTTTTAAGAAATAAAATTTTGAATGAATAGACTTCTATAGAGTTTGGATAAAAGTCTCAAGAATTGGGTGAATTTATTGGCTATCAGCTCCCTGCAATAACCTCAAAATATCTTAATTATGAAAATGTGATGAATCTTATTATTTCAGTGGGTGATAAGACATTCAGAATTATTTCCATAAAAATAAGAATTATGGCAGCAAAACATTTATTCAATTGTTCTGGCTTACTACATGGTAGGCTAGTGGCTAAGATTTGTAACAGATACAACAAATACCAATAACTTTTTAGAAAAATAAAGATTTAATAGATGTGTTTTGTAAACAGTATGTAAGTAGATGTAGAAGATATGCTGTCTGATGTGAGAAGGAGCTGAAGGATCATTGAAGGCCGCCTCCTGTGTTGGCCCCACTTTATTAATGAATGTACTGAGACTGGGGCTCCATTGACTTTCCTGAGGTCACATAACTGATAAATGATCAAACAGTTGTAGGACCAGTTTCCAACAACACCGATCTTCGACATAAAAATCCTGAATTTTGGGATGGCGGAGTTGTTCTTCAAACTCAGCCTGTCTTCTCTATTTCTGTTCTGACTGTCTTAGTAATAATAGTAGATACAACTTATATGGTGCTGTCCTAGAATGCTAGGGTTGCCAAAACAAAATGGCTCAACCTGGGTGGCTCAAACAATAGAAACTTAGTGTGTCACAGTCTGGAAGCTAGAAGTCCATGCTCAAGATGCTGTCAGAGTTAGTATCTGGTAGGGCCTCTTCCTTTGGGTTGCAGACAGCCACCTTCTCCCTGTGAATTCAAAAGGCCATTTGCCTGTGTGCAAGGAGAGAGAGAGAGACAGAGAGATCTCCGATGTCTCTTTCTCTTCTTATAAGAGTACTTGTTCTATCAGATTATGGCCCCACCTTACGGCTCAATTAACCTTAATTACCTCCCTAAATTACCTAACTCCAGTTACATTGGGGTTTAGGGCTTCTCACATATAAATTTTGGAAGTGACACAATTCAGTATATAAAAAGCACCTGGTGTTTCAGACACTGATTAGTGGGTTTTTTTTTTTTTAATTTACTAACTTACATACTGCTAAGCAAATTACAAATTAATTTATGAAATTGATAGTTAATTAATAAATTACTAATTGAATTATGACAATATCTATTGTTATCCCCACTTACAGGTGAGAAAACGGAGGCATAGAGCATTCTAATAACTTGTTTATGGTCTTGTGGAGGGTTGAGCCAGGTTTTGGGTCGTCATATCAGTCCAGTCCGGAGTCCAGGTGTGCTCACCCCCTGCCTATCTGACCTCTCTTTACCCCTCTTTTGTGGTGTGGTCTATCACAACAGATCCTAGGGCTCGGCCTATTCGGCAGACTCCAGAGGAAGTTAGTTTCCTAACGTGAGCTCTCACGGGGTGAATCCATCTGTTCGTGGCCCCATTTTCACAACACGGTAGAATGAATGGTAGGCCCACATTCCAGCTCCATCAGCCTGCCTAGCAACCCTTGCCCATCATCCACAAGGCTGCCCCGTCCACAAGGCAAGCTCCCGCCAGGTCCTCTCCAGCCCCAGCCCCATTTCTGAACGTGGATCATTCTCCAAACATCCCGCACGCTGCTCCCCCAGTCCGCACATCCTCCTCTCCCTTCTTTTCCAGGCGTGGTGTCTCCCTTCCTTGACAGATTTTATCAAGATTCAGGGAGCACAAACCACACTGTCTTTGCTGTGCCCACCCACTGCTCTCTCCATACTTGCTCGGAATATCTGATGCACTGCACCTTTATGACTCATTTACATCTTATTCATCATCTTTTCAACTTTAGACAGAGACTTCCTGGAGGGCAAAGGCTGTGTGAATGTTATTTTTGAATGCCTAGTTCCCAAATTCAAGCTGGAATATACTTGACCGTCAATATTTGTTGAATGAATGGTTGCCCAAGTGTTATGGTCTGTGTTGAATGCATTTTTTTTGTAGCTAACATGAGGAAAGCCAATTGGAATTCAATTTTGTTGACATCTTCCTATTAGCCAGAAGCAGGAATAGAATCCATCTCTGTTGAGGTCCCTGAGGGCAAGGCAAGTAGCTCCTCTTGACGTGTGTCACTGGATAAACAGAACTCTAGTAAAGAGTTTGCTCATTTTTAAAAGTGAGAAGAGTTGCTCAGTTGTTCTAAAAATATTGTGTCCTTATTACCATTGCCTTTGGAATATATTTGTTCTGTTATTTATCTCAGAAATAATTCTACCTCTAGAATACATGCAACACAGTTCTATAGCAGAAGTAATAATACACAATTGCAGGGTCACGTTCATGTATAGAAAACCGAAATCTGTATCTATGGCATGCAATTGATGAATGTCCTCTCCACATGAATTTTATTGGCAAATAGTAATAATTGATAGCTGGGCAGTTCTCTACTTTTCCAAGCATTCTCATCTTTTTTTTTTTTTTTTATTCTCAGAGAAATATGTGAGGTCTTTGGGCAGGTGGGGCTTTGTTCTTCCATTCTACCTGTAAAGAAGCCAGGACTGAAGGAGCTTTTTACAGATCATGGAGCCAGTCTTGGATTAAAGAGCTTTACAGATCATGGAGCCAGTCTGGGAACCTCAGTGAGACTTTGCTTCCTCTACACAAAGCTTCCCTCATTCATGTAAAGCAAATCATAGAATTTCCCTTGCTTTAGAAATATATTAAGCTCTTAAAGATAAAATTCATATACAGAAAATGCATAATTTCAAAATGATTAGAAAATAAATGGCTATATTGATAAAGATGTGAAACAAAGTAATACTCTTGTTCAGAAAATTGACACCAAAAATTTAGTTTCTATTAGATAAAGTAATGGGTGAGAATAATAATTTTGAACTTGTTTTTACCATCATTTAAAGAGGATCCAAAATGTTGGTCAGCAATGCCTTCATTCACTCATTTATGCAACTTTGTCGTGCTATGAGCAATGGCACTTTACACATGGAAAATGCACTTGTTTCATGTATTTAAAAACCTCCCTGTACACCAAGGTGTAGCAAATATCACATGTGTAATCCATGAGGCAAGACAAAGATGAGCAGGCCGTGTAATTTGCAAAGAAAGTCAGGCTTGGTTTGTGTGCCTGATTTAAATGAATTCTAGAGAAAGGAAATCGCTCTTAGGCAGAGGAGAAGGCAGGGTGCTAATGAATAAAATGCTGGGCATCAACTTTCTTGCCTGTTGACACCATCGTCTTTTTGCCTAATGATCTCTCCCACTACCAGACCACGAACTTGGAACCCAGCAAATGTAGTAACTCTAGCGGACCATGCTGTGCCTGGCAGTCATAGAAGGCACTCGATGAATGCTTGTTAGTGAGATGGCTCATCTTACGATTGACATGAACACACCACAGAAATCCTAGCATGTGTGTGTCCTGGAAGGAGAAGAAGAAAATGGCCTCTGTGGACAGCTCCCTGCAGTCCAAAGCTACAGGTGCTTGGTGTGTTGCTTCAGTTCAACTCTGAACAGCTCCACGAGGACAGGATGAACCTCGAGGAGGCATGAACTGCAAGAGAGGCATGAATCGCCGTGGAGCAGATTGTGGCAAGTCTGTGTTGGAGCTCAAAACTCCTCATGCTGGAGTTATGATGCATCTCTTGCAGGCCACACATGCCTCCACTCTGGACTTGGTGCTGACAGCCACAGAGACCAGGGCTTATGCTCTTAGGACCATGGGGGAGGCTGCCCTTGCCCTCCAGGGAGACAGATATCGTGTGTTGTTTTCCCAGAGTAGAAAGAAGTGGCAACAAAATACTGAGGTCAACTTGATAATCTCACCATTCTGGTTGACAAAGATGAAAATGCAGAATTTTCAGAGTTCATCAGCAATACATTACTTTTCCTCCAAACTCACATATTTTGTCTACAATCAAAAATTAAGAGTTAGGTGATTTTCTGAAGTAGTTGTCTGCACAATCAGAACGACAGCTCAAAAGCTCTTCGTGCCTCAATCCTAAATTACTTAAATAAATGCTTTGACCTTTCATGGCCCGAGGCAGACCCAGCCTAATGGAAGCTTGAAGCAGGCTTCCTCTGGTCAGTGCTCACTTTCCTTTTTATTTTTTTTAAGTCAGGTATTTGGCCCAAGTAGCCTGTGTTTTTGTGTCTGGGGTGATGTTTTAAATAATTAGTAAAGCTTATTTTCATTTGAGAAGACAGCAAATAGATGAGGGGCAAGGAAATGAAATGTGGCCAACTCTTAGTCACTCAGCCCGCTCGGCTGCAAGAAGATTAAAGCCTGGCTGGGAAGGCTTTTCGAGGTCAGAATACTCTGCAGAGAGGCTTCAATGTTTCCTTAAAACTGAAGATAAATATTCACAAGAGGCAAAGGTGATAAGAAATGTCACAGCAACCTTTGTCTTCAAGGGAGTTGCAACACAAGCCAGAGAGAACAATAATTCTCTCAAATGAGGAATCAAAAGGCTTCGTGTCTCTCTTAAAAAGCAGCTTTCTGAACAACAGAAATTTTAGCTCCAAAGAGGCTCTGACAGATTAGAATACTCTTGGCTTATCCATGAGTGATAGAGCCTACAGACTGTGACTAAGAAGGGCTTCCGTAGATAAATATCTCTCAAGAGGTCGTTATTATCTCAAACCACTGAATTTATCCTTGTGATTTTCATTCTTAAAATCATCCACAAAAGGCAGTTTACCCATTGCAATGGCAAATTTGAGTGACTAGAAATCTGATTATCTTTGCGACCTCTAAGCCATATGTAAGAAACTCATCACATTTCTCAGATACTTATTTTATTATTAAAGTCATAGTGTTTAAAGAAGTCTTCGGGCAATTTTAGTTAGAAGCATTAGGAATGAAATCCTTCCCTTTAATAATATTTTCAATGTAACAGGCTTACTGAAAGCCAGTTAATATGAAGCGCTAGACCTCACTCACACCGCCTCCCTTTAGTCACATTCTGCTTAGCATTCCACAGTGCCTCTTAGAGGGCTGGAGGAATTCTGACCTTCCAACAGATAGGGACTCACAGAGCTAAACCCATCCAAAGAGCTAACATCTCAAAAACCTGCTGCTCACAAGATTAGTCTCTGGCTCATGGGAGGATTTTCTCTTTTCTCCAGGAATCACCCACATTTTCTTGCTGCACGGCAGGTGGTTGCACCTGCTGCGTGCTGGGGTTGTGCTTCAGGAGGTCTGTGTGGTCACCCCTTGTCACAGGCAATGGACAGTGCTGGTCTCTGCTTGCCTGCCTCTGTGCCATCCTGCCTGGCAAGCCAGGTCCCTCTGAGGACACCATGTGTATGCCTGGCACGTGCTCCCTTCCCCGTTTCCTGTGAGCGATCCCGAAGCCCTCGCTGGCACTCTACCTTCCATAGAGGCAGCACACCCTATTGAGTATGGGGTGGCACCGGGCAGAGTGATTGCTGGTTGTGGACACCCTCCTTGGTGTGGGTCAGATGTCTTCATCCAGAACTCATTTAATAGGGTACCCTGTGGCTACTGAAGCTTTAGTTATCAGAAAACTGGTTATCCCACTGATAGGTGTCTTACACAGCAACATATTTGTCTGTCTATATAAAGAGAACAGAAAATTTAAAACACAAGTGGCAGCTTTCAGGAAAAGAGCCCAACTTGCCCCATCTGGTTTTTGGTTTTGTTTTTTAAACAGGATAGATTGGGTATTCTAGCCCTTTGAATTCATTCTTGATTTAATCTTCTTTTCACTTTTGTCTTCGTTTTCACAAATGGATATGCAGACAAGATTAGCCTGCTTTCTTAGAAGTTTCTAAGCAACTTGAGATGAATTAAAATACTACAGCCAGCCTCATGCACTCAAACCAACTTCCAGGACTTACTGCTGAATCTGCCTTAAAACTTCCTGTAATAATACGGCATTTCTTATGAAGTTTGGATCAGTGATGCCCACATTTGATTGCTAATTACAATACCTGGGGGCTTTTTTTAAATGTAGATTAATGGATGCCACTCTTGGATTTCCAATTCAATAAAATATTCGTATTTTTCTTATCGCTTAGAGAAAGGGTATAATCCCTGCAAAGGTGTTCACTAGTTAGGCTCTCCTAGAAAGAATTTACTTCATTCAAGGAAACATCTTCTTTTCTCTTTTCCTTCCTATCTTTTCCTCTATTTTTTTCTTTTTAAATATACATTTGTAAAATGCAGGTGATGTTGGAAGAAAATAAAGGACAACTTATTGCTGGTGTTTATATGAGTTTTCTCTTAAATCTATCCAATAGTTTTTTGAGATAAGCAAGATAAAGACATAACAATGGATAAGAAAACAGAAGCTCAGAGAAGTTCAATAATCACCAAAGTCACACAGCTAATGACTGGCCAAACCAAGATTCAAGACCAGGCCTGGATGATTTTTAGGGTCCTCAGTCTTTCTGCTCTGTTAAGTTGCTTCAAATATGAAGAAATTCTGAAATATTATTTAGTATTAAAATGTGATTGCTATTAGCATTTTTGATCTCATCTTTCCAATTTTTTTTTCTAAGTGTGGCCTTTTCTGTATTACATATATGATTTATAACCTGTTCACTTACTGGCATGCCCATAAACCAGATTTCCTTGTTAGGGAACCATCCTATGCTTACACAACCATTGTTGTACAATAGTCCTTGAATATTATACACAGGTTAACATGTTCTTTAAGTACTCCTAAATTGCTGGGAATTGGGTAAATTTTAGTTATCCGCTTTGAAAAGCCAGTATGCCTCTGCTGAAATCAGCTGGATTTTATTCTAGGCTGTAGAATGCTCCATGCCATGTTTCTCTTGTTTTGTCACCAGCCAGGGCTGGCTCTTCTCATGTGAATGGCATAAGTGCAAGTGGCTGGATCCAACCATGTAAGCATGCGTGGAGCCTCTACGAGTGTCCATCCTCTAGCCTTTCACTGGCCAGAGCAAGCTGTCAGCCAAATGCAAAGTTGGTAAAAAGAGGTTACCGTCTCTGTGTACACTACCAGGAGACACTGCATATTGTATAACCTCCCATCCAGAGGAAGTGGTGCTTGGAAGCTGTGATTGTCTACAAAGCATGTTTAGAGTGGGAAGGTGATCAGAGTAGAATGCACACTTAGGAGCAGGAGTAAGAGTCAAGCTGAAACTAATGTTGGATTAAGTTGATAATAATGAAGAACCAGAAAAGTAGAGAGATTCCGGAGCTATTTATGAAGTGTATCAATCAGTGTCCTGGCAGAAAACAGAAAGTACCCACAGTACGGTAAGGAGGATAATATCAGAGCTATTATCTAATATCCCCTAGAGAAACTGAATAAGAAGAATGTTGACAATGGTTTAGGAACTGTTGAAAGAGCCAACAGGGGTAGGGAAGCACCAAAGACAAGCACTAGACTTCATGACCCCTTAGCCTGTTGTGGGCTTTGATGGCACCCACTCATGGCCACAGCCACGGAGAAGGGTCTGTTTATAGGGCTGGGGATGAAGGCACCAGTACTGTCAGGCCATGGCCCAGCAGAGAGATGGGAGTGGGATGAACACCCCCACCCTCTCCTTCCATGCGTGTTTTAGGCTGTGTTCATCAAGGAGGCCAAGAAGACACAGCCCATGGAGGCAAACGTCTCAGAGCACAGAACAGAGCAGAAAGCAGTGGGAAATGGATTTGGAGGAACATGAAGAAGATCACCGGCAAAATTGTCCTTATTACTAATTAGTATCCAACTTATTCTTCCTTTAGTTGGAAAAATACCAACACAGGAAAACTCATTTCCCATCAACCACGGTGTCTCCTCCTGAGATGATGGCGATCTCATTATAGTCCCACAAGGAGAAAAATGGTCATCTTCTCCACCTCCAGAGCCCTTCATGGAGAGTGGCAGAGACAAAATAATGTGTCAGGGAGAGGGACGAACTCCCCATACAGATGCTAAGACCCTCCTTCAGTGAGACCCAAATCTACCCTCCTTGTGTCCTTCTCCCACAGCACCTTGACTCATGAGGTTTTTTGTTTGTTTTTACCGACTAGGGTTACCTCAGTCCTACAAATAAACACTCCAAATACTCAGTGGCCCTGCATTTATTGAGTTGCTATTGTTTCCCACTGGTCAGTAATGATGAGGCATAGGAGGGATCAGTAGCAACACAATGAACCCGGAGTTTCCATGATGCGTCCCCCAACACAACTTCCCCTGAGTGATTGAGGTTAGTCACACCCAGTAGTGTGATGACCTCCTACTATGTGCCATGGTCCAGCGAAATGAGGAATCCATGTTGGATAGGAGGCAGCCTTAGCTTCAGACTCAGCAAAACTATGTCAATATTCCCAGGAGAAGCCTGAACTGTGAAGCGAATTGTCTCCTAATTGGTGCCATAATTTAGCCTTCATCACGCTTTACCTACTACCATGACAGCTGCTTCCGAGTGATGGGGAGACCAGCAAACCCTTTGCCTCTGTCCTTTGTGAAAACATGAGTTCCTTAATCTGAGGCCGTGGTCTCCCTGATAATCTGTGAATGGATAAGCCACTCATTGTTCACAAATGAAGGTGTTGGCAGAAGTTTTATGGGTAGGGATGGCAAATATACATTTAGAATACCCATAAGAACAGATGACTGCCCACTGCATGGTAAAGCAGTTCTAATATAGTCAATATCCAATATGCAGCCAAGTGTTTTCTCTGAAAAATGGTGCCATGACAAAGGTTCATCATGGGCATCTTCCGTGGGCAGCTTGGGCCCTCAGAGGTGGCTAGAGCCAGAGCATGCTGGTGAAGGAGCCCGTGTTGCTAAGATCAGGGTGATCCCAGTGCTGCCATCATGGACACTTCAAGGGTGCCCTGTGCCTTCATGGAGCTCCTATGTGGAAAGGTGAGTGATCTGTTATGGGAGAGGACAATTTGTTCACTGATTGTTGAGGATTTCCTCTGAAGTGGGTGCCCTCTGGTTGACGTTTATGTTAGATATCAGTAGCTTTATTCTCTGTAACTGTTTCTGAAAGGTCCATCCTCATTCCTCCTCCCCAGGAACCCTGGTCACCCATCCTCAAACTAGCCATGACCCCAGAATGAAAGTAGACATGAGCATGGGGCCATTTCTCCTTGCATGAAGCAGACAACCAGATATGATGCTGGAAATTCTGCCCACTGACACCTGGAGCATTCCTCAGGGGACTGGGATGCAGCGGCCATCCACTCAGGCTGGTGTAGATGCATCGTCGGCCAGGCCCGTGCTTTCTCCTCCTCTGGTAGCTCCCTTTGACTCCTTTTAATATGGGTTGAGGGATCACCGGCAGAGCTGCAGAAGGAGGTCCCATGGGAGTCAACCTTGGATGATTGACCTGTGCCTTCTGAGCCTGCTCAGCCCCCATCTCACATATGCAATGCCCACATGATAATGAAATGTTTCTCTGCATGTGCAATGTTGTGGTTCAACAGGTCGTATAAAGCCCAGTGGGACAGGTTGTGTCACATAACTGCAGACATCCCATGGTCAGAACATAAGTCTCTACCAGGGTCTGGGAGCTAACCAGGAGCCACTTCTCACATGCAGAGTATCGTCATCTTTCTCCACATCTCTAAGTTTATGTGTAATACTCCTATCAGAGCTTCCTACAACCTCCAAAAACATCTCTCTCTGCCACAGACACGTCTCTGTGTCACTGAGCCTACTGGGTTATAAGGTCTGAGTGACAACACAATTTTCACCCTCCCTTCAGCTGCACTGAGCCTTCTTGCTCCAAAATTGGCCAGCTAGAGGGCTGCTGGGAGATCATCTCAGCACAGCAAATCCCAAGGTCATGTGTGTTGTGCTAAAATCCACAGACACCTACTGGGGGCTATGTCCTTCCAACTGGCCTCTCACTTTTAGGAGAAGTCTCCATATTCCCAGACACGGGAGCCCCTGGAAGCTTCCCCAACTTGCCAGGGACCTGAATGTCCACAGAGATTATCCCTTTCTGCTGGCAATTAGGATGCTTGTAAATGGCTCCTCTTAGGTCTGTTCAGCTGAAGTATCATAAAGCTCTGTGAGATTCTGTAGGATATCTAGAGTGTCAGCACTTCTCCAGACTCCATTATATCAAAAAGCAAGAGGTTGGGCAAAGCCCTGTGATACGACAGTCAAGGTTTATGGCTTCCCTGGCAGAGGAAAGTAAACTGTGTCTGATTATCTTTATTGATGGGCATTACATAGAAAGCATTTACTCAATCAATGGGTGCATGGCAGCCAGGGGCTATGTTGATTTATTCCAATGAAGATACCACATCTGGCTCAGCAGCTGTGACTGTTATCACCACTGATTAAGTTTGTGATAATCCAAGTCATTCTGAGAGATCCATCTGGCTTTTCTACTAGCCAAACAAGCAAGTTAAATGGGGGTGTAATAGGGATCCCTACCTCTGCATCTTGACATCTTGATGGAGGCATGAATCTCTGCTACTGTCCCAGGAAACTGTATTTATTATTTGAGGAGGAAGGAGTTTCCAGGAACTTCCATGTGGGATCTTCTGACCATAATAGTCCTTACTCCAATGGTAAGAAGACTTGTTGGGATTCTGACCATTGTTAAATATATTTACAGCCTCCAGGACTTTGGAAACAACCACAAGATAATCCAGTGGCCCAACAGGACCTTCTGTGAAATAGATTCATGCCGTGAGCCCATCTAACTCCTGCTGCTTTAAACATCTCTTTGGCAGCAAGCCACAATGATATTTTGTGTCTGTAGGGATTTGCATTCCTATCAGAGCTATTATCTAATATCTCCTAGAGAAAATGAATATTTCCCACTCCGCAAAGCACAGTTGTCTTGTTAATAGCTCACAGGTCCTTCGCGGGAAGGCTTGGAGGAATAGCCATGGTCTACCTTGGCACTGAGTGGCAAGGTTTCCTCAAACATCTGGTGAAAGCAGGTAGATGAAGGTGCTCTTTCTTGAACTATGGAAGTTTACAGGGGGGTAGTTCTGGCACAAGGTGAATGCATGGAAATCCAGTGTTCCATTTGTGACTTGTTGAATTTAATATTCTTTGAGATATCTAAGGGGAAATGTCTAATAAACACTTGAAAGCACAGGTCCACAAGCCAGAAATCTCTAGTGGGAAGGCATCAACAATTTTATGGCAGTTGAAACCCTCAACCCAAATATGAACTTAATTGAAATTCAACATTTAAAGTTTATGCAGAAGGCTGGGCGTGGTGGCTCACTTCTGTAATCCCAGCTACTCAGGAGGCTGAGGCAGGAGAATTGCTTGAACCAGGGAGGCAGGGGTTGCAGTGAGCCAAGATCGTGCCACTGTACTCCAGCCTGGAGACAGAATGAAACTCTGTCTCAAAAATAAATAAATACATAAAGCTTATGTAGAAATGAAAAGTCTTAAAGCATGTCTAAGGAAGACTATTCGAGGTGGTATAAGGAAACCAGAAAAATGTGATATTCTAGAGACCACAGGAAGAAAGCATTTCAGAAAGGAGCAAGCCGCAAATTGCATCAAATGCTGCTGAAAATATAAGAGAATGAGAACTCAACATGCCTCTTTAATTTAGTGACATGGAGAGAACTTGTGACCTTTGCAAGATCTGTTTTGGGGAAACGCTAAGGGCAGAAGCCAGACTGGGTGTTTACCGAGGGTAGCAAAACACTGCATGTACCAATTTTTTTTTCCTCAAAAACCAAATAGCTTACCATTTTTAAAGCTTGTTTTGTGTGTGTGTTTGATTTTGATTCCTCTGTGATTATATTTATATAATACGTATCCTAGAGGCAATTTGCTGCTGCTTAGCCACTGACGACACTCTTGTTTAGCTTGCTCCAGTGTAAATGAGGTTCCAGCCTCATCAGGCGTCTCCAAGAGCTCCATGGAAGGGTTCAGCTTCCTGAGTTATTTCTTTGTCTTGTGTGCTTGGGGGATGATGAAACAGAAGTAGCAGAGAGACAGTTGTGAGGTTCTTAGTATGCTAAAATGGAGGCTTTGTCATTAACATAGCGTCATCCATCACAAAGAAAAATCAGCCTAGGATTTTTCACACCACGCATCACAGCCTTTAATTCCACTCTACTGACTAGAGCCAGAAATTCAGAAATTCACACATTTTGTAATGTTTAACTTTCCCCTGCACATATTTTATTTCTGAAATATTCACCCCTGAGTATTTCTCTCTTTCCTTCTATGAGTTTGTTCAGGGTTATATCTCTAAATCTGAAAGCTTTTTACATTGTGATTAGTAATTGAGTTATATTTGGGCGTGAAATCTATGTTCCTTTGGGAGTTTAATTATTCCAAACAGATAGACAAATTAGAGTAAACTTGGAATTGAGTAACATAAAGATGAAGAATGAATAAGACTATAGTATTTACTTGTAAAGAGCATTAATGTCTGAACAGAAAGAATTTGGCCACCTAAGCGCTAAATGGTGGTTTAACTGCCCATAATTCTGTGGTCAAGTTGAATCTAAAACAGCACCAGGCTAAGAAAACTAGTTATTGACTAACAGCACCAGGAGTCTATTAAAATCATGTTCTATGTAAAGATTCCAAGAAAGTGTAATAAAGAGATTCATCTTCATCACTTCAGTTATTTGTTTGGATATAAATGACATTCTTCTAATTTCTACCTCTCACATTCCTTGCAGAGGGGTCCGGTCTTTCTGTAAACCTACACTGTTTCCATGTGCTAAAAATTTACACACGGTATTAATTTCACTTGACTTGCCCTGTGTGTGTGTGTGTCTGTGTGTGTGTGTTTGTGTGTGTAGACAGGTTTTGACTCCTGGAAGTAGATTAGTGATTAAGGCAGATGAATCCCTCAAGCTGTTGACTTCTCTGTAGACAGAGCTCTTTATCTTAAGTGGAAGATAGAAGCATGTTTTCCATGTGGAAGACAGAGTCTGAAGTCTGAAGAGGACTCCTCTAATGATGTAAAAATGATAATGCATTGTCAATAGGATGGGATGCCACGGCTGTCTCATGAATGAACAGTGACCCCATATGATGACTTCCTATGCAGCTCATACTAAAGAACATAGGAAGGCTCACACCTGCAATCCCAACACTTTAGGAGGCAGAGGTGGGAGGACTGCTTGAGCCCTGCTGAGTAGCTGGGACTATAGGTGTGTGCCACCACACCTGGCTGATTTATTTTATTTTTAGTAGAGGTGAAGTCTTCCTATGTTGCCCAGACTGGTCTTGAACTCTTGGGTGACACAGCAAGAGCCTGCCTCAAAAAAAAAAAAAAAAAAAAAAAAAAAAAGAGAGAGAGAGAGAGAGAGATTTTCTCTTACTCACAGTCCTAGCACCAGTCCTATGGCCCTCACAGTACTACAGCGACCACTTATCTTGTGGGATGTTCACAGAGCTGGCTGTGGCACATGGTCCTGCTTGTCTTCAGAGAAATTGTATTGTTCTTTCTGATGAGGGTGAGGATGCTGAGGGCCTGGTTCATTCAAGACAGCTAATGTGTGTTTGGGCAGGAATGCTGACCCAGGTCACACCCCAGAGCTGTAACCACCATACAGACTGCCTCCCTCATGACTGGAAAAAATTCATTTGTAGTTATTCAGTGAAAAAAAAAAAATCTCTTTCTCTCTGTCTCTCTCTCTCTCTCTTTTTTTTCTTTTTTTTTTGAGGCAGGCTCTTGCTGTGCCACCCAAGAGTTCAAGACCAACCTGAGCAACATAGGAAGACTTCATCTCTACAAAAAATAAAATAAATTAGCCAGGTGTGGTGGCATATGCCTATAGTCCCAGCTACTCAGCAGGCTGAGGCAAGATACTCACTTGAGCCCAGAACTGGAAGCTGCAGTGAGCAATGATCAAACACTGCACTCCAGCCTGGGTGATAGAGGGAGAACTCATCTCCTGAAAGAAAAAAAGAACATATGAAGAGTTTATTAGCTGGTGTTTTCCGCAGTGTCTAACTCTGCACTCTGTAAACAGCGGATGCAAATGAAGGGTTGCTTTGAAGGATGAGGGTGATGATGGCCCGATGACTGGGGACATGCGTCATGCTAATTGCTTCATGTGACCCTCACATCAGCATCCAGAAGTGGACGTCACTTCACCATTTAACAGAGGATCACCTGAAGACACGAGGAATGACATACCACAGCCGCTCTGTGCAGGTCCTCGCCCCTGTTCTGTGTCCACTTTAGGTGCTGGCTGACCACGACTGGCCTGCAGAGGAAAGGAAAGAGATGCCCCCGTAACCACAACCTGCATGACGATCACAGCCCCATCAAATTCCATGCAAGAGTGAACAAGGTCTCTGTTTTTCAAAAAAAAAGATAACCACTGAATAATTTTTATTCTAGTGAGGCAGGAATTGAGCCCATATTTCCTCCTTTTTCATTAGAACACTTCTGATATTTTCAGAATATTTATGTAATTATTCTTTGGTAAATTAGAAAGTCTGTATAGATTTTTTATAAAAACAATCTTTTCAAACCAAAATTTTTCTTTAAGAGCATAATAATTAATTCCAAAGGAGAAAAACTCCAGTAGACACAGAGAAGCGGCAGCATAAATATTGACATAGACAAGCAGTGTGTAGTTTGGCCAGCTGCCTGAAATTCTTTTCTCAAGGTGAGCATGGAGGTGTCAGACTAGGAAAACTAAACACAGAAAAACACCCAAGAAGACAGTTCTGTGGCAAAAGACACAATTATTTACCATAGCAAAGAAGCTATCACTGGGGTAGAGAGAATTAAACTTTGAAAACCAATAGAGCATCAAGAACTGTCTCCATCATTAAGAAGGAGTACAGACAAATTAGAGCAATTGGACAGTGAATGGTAGCATGGGCCTTATTTTTCTAAAATAGGTTAAACATGAATACATTTTTAAGAAAAGAACTATAAAATGTCATGCATGCAGTTCCATTTGTACAATGTTAGGATGATTCTGTGAAGAAGAATTCAACTGCCATAGAAAGACCTTTTAACTAGCAGACACCTGGAAAGGTGTGCTCTTACTCACAATCCTAGTACCAGTCCTGTGGCCCTCACAGTACTACAGAGACCACTTATCTTGTGGGGTGTTCACAGAGCTGGCTGTGGCACATGGTCCTGCTTGTCTTCAGAGGAGTTGTATTGTTCTTCCTGATGAGGGTGAGGATGCTGAGGACCTGGTTCATCCAAGACAGCTAACTGGTGTTTGGGCAGGAACGCTGACCCAGGTCACACCCCAGAGATCTAACCACCATACTAGACTGCCTCCTTCACCACCGGAAAAAATTTATCTGTAGTTATTCAGTGAAAATAATCTCTCTCTCTCTCTCTCTCTTTATTATTATTATTATTATTTTTGGCAGGCTCTTGCTATGTCATCCAGGTTGGAGTGCAGTGGTTTAATCATGGCTCACTGCAGCCTCCATCTCCTGGGCTTAAGTGATCCTCCCATCTCAGCCTCTTGAGTAGCTGAGACTACAGGCACATACAACTATGCTCAGCTAATTTTTTTTAATGTATGTTTTGTAGAGACGGGGTCTCACTCTGTTGTCCAGACTGGTCTCGAACTCTCAGGTTCAAGTGATCCTCCTACCTCAGCCTCCCAAAGTGTTAGGATTATATGCATGAGCCACTGCTCCCGGCAAATTAATCTTTAACAGTATTTCATGCAAAACACTTAGGAAAACAAGAAAAACATACAGCAAGCAGCTCTGTTTCTTTGCATTAGCAAATTCTGGTTTAGAAGTTAAATGTGAATCGTGCTTTGCAGCTTTCCTAATAAGGTGTGATGGAGACGTGGAGCTACCGTTGACACCAGCTTGCAGAGGAATATTGCCTAAACAGGACCAGGCACTTTCCTTTACTTCTTTTTCAATATGATCCCTTATCTTAAACTGGCCTATAAAATACTCCATTAATCCCTTCAACAATCCAAACTCTAACAGAGATTGTCAAAAAAAAAAAAAAAAAAAAAAAAACTTTCTCAAATTGGCCATGATAAAACAATGCTATATTCTCTCTGGATTTTTAAAAAATTATTATGAGTTTCCAAATGTTTTATATTATGCTTTCTTAACAACATTAGATATAACCATTAAACAAATTAGCCATTGGCTAAACTTTACCTTTAATATTATGGGATTTGGTTTGGGAGCTATTTTGTGCCAAACAGAGACAAATAAGAAGCATCTCTCAGGGGTCTAGAAACAGGAGTGTGATGCATTTATTCTGCCAGGTTGTATTTGGTAAGATAGGAGAGATGCCCCCACAGAGCAGGAGAGAACATTCCTGGTCTGGAGGCAGCACTTGACCCTGCCACTGTGGGCTACCTGACTTTTGCAGGTTCCTGCCTGTTAGTCTGGGATGATGAGACTTGTCATGCCCTCTGCAGAGGTACCTTGAGGAAGAAGGAAAAGGCATCGCTTGAGGGCATGTGACAAGTGCTCAGTGAATTTTGCTGGGAGAGCGGTGGAGAGAAGACAGTGAGATCCGTTTGCTCACAAAGAGCCGTGCGGTCTAGAAGGACACGTGCCGTTAAGTATTTTACAGATCACTGTGCATTAAGTATTTGTTCTTAACAGCAAATGTTCCAATGTTTTAGTTTCATTGGAAGAGCTATTTGACAGGATGATTATATGATTGCTGGGTAGTACTTAAAAGTGATTACTGGATGTATGTTTCATGTCCTCAGAGAGCTAATGGGTTTCCTTTTACTGTCCTCTAAGTCCCACCCAGAAATCTCCTGACATATCCTATAATTCCAAAGGAAATGAAACCACAAGAAGGATAAAACTATATTTTGCCCTCCAATGACACATGAGGATTAGCCATCGTCCCGTGCAACAGCACCTGAAATTTAGCTCATGCAGTGGCCTTTCAGTGAGCTCAAGGGGAAGTGCACTACTTTCCCCACTTAATTCAAGTTACTTTGATTTTCATCATCTTCCCCAAATAGAATTTACCCAAAGGAACCAAGCTGTCAGTCACACTACATGAAGCAGGACTGAAAAAATGTTTTAACTTGGCTGCAGCTAATTATAGACGCTCTCAGAGTGCAAAGACCCAGGGAGGTCATCTAGTTATCTCCTGCCACAGGCAACCCATCTTAACTGCCCCTTAACTAATTAAAGATATCCCTAAAACTTTTCTCTTGATCTTTTCTTTCAGACTGTTGGGGGTTCTCCGCTATTCCCATTTTGTAACCTCCCCAATAGCTCCAGTGACCCAGTCAGGCCTGTATGTTACTCATTCCCATATTCAACCTCTGATGGACATTGCATTGGGCGTTCATGTTATCTTAGAATACTAAAGGCTTGGAAGAAGGGTGTCTAATAACAAAAGAAATCTGAATATTTCATAGTCTCACTGCTTTTTGGATATCTCTAAACTATGAATACAGCTTCCCCAGTTATTTAGAATGTCACTTATTTCTTGTGAGGATGTATGCATGTTATTACATCATAGCAGTCTAATGCAGCATTTCTTAATCTGTAATTCATGGAACTCATGCTGAGGATATGCCTTGAGAAAACTATTCTGTGGTCCTATAACTGTGTAAAAAGCGGGAACTAACAATGATTAGAGAGCCAATAAAGATTCTGTTTTTACTGGAGGACTTCTCACACTCCTGAATACATTAATGTATGTTATAAACACCCAAGAAGAAAGTGGTATGCAACTATTTCAAAACACTTTTCTTTATTATGTTGTAAAAGGAAACATTGAGCTTTTGTAAAATTACAGTTCCAAGAATTAAATTTTAGAAAACGTTGCTTCAAAATATGCATTTTTTTTTGCAAAAATGTGGAATCAACCCAAATGCCCATCCATCAATGAGTGGGTAAAGAAGCTGTGGTGCATACGATGGAATACTACTGAGCCATAAAAAGGAATGAATTAATGGCACTCACAGCAACTTGGATAACATTGGAGACTATTATTCTAAGTGAAGTAACTCAGGAATGGAAAGCCAAACATCATATGTTTTCACTCATAAGTGGGAGCTGAGCTATGAGGATGCAAAGGCATACAAATGATACAATGGACTTTGGGGACTCAGGGGGAAAGGGTGGGAAGGGGGTGAGGGATTAAAGACTACAAATTGGGTTCAATGTATATGGCTTGGGTGATGGGCGCACCAGAATCTCACAAATCACCACTGAAGAACTTACTCATATAACCAAATACCACCTGTTCCCCAAAAACCTATGGGAATAAAAAATAAATAAATAAATAAATGCACTAAATACAAATATATATATATACACACACATATACATATTGCACATATATATACATATATATTGCACACATATATACTTATATATTGCACACACATATATACATATATATTGTACACATATATGTATATATGTGCAATTCTTGTTTGTAACAGCACTGGCTGGAAAAGTGGATTCAAGACGGGTCATCAGGGTCGCTTCTTGGGGAGTGAATGTAAAGGGGTGGGAAAAGGTCGGGACAGTGACTCAGCACTAGAAATTTCATGAGCACAGAAGACCGTGTCCACCCAAACTGTCCTGGAAGAAAACGTTAGGAGCTGCTGGAAGGACTGTTCCAATAGGTACCTGGAGTGGGAGGTGAGAGCCCTGAGTAACTTACTCCACAGTAACAGAAGGTCTTTCACAGAAGGGCAGGCTGGTACACGCTCCCACACCCTCCTGCACCTTCTCCTTTAAATGGATGTTGACCAGATGTCTAAATAAGAGACCAGGGGACCCTGAGACTCTGGTGTCCACACGGGCCATCTAATATCTTCCTCAATGTGAAGGTCCACGTGGGCTCCGCTACACTTCTACCGTTTCCTCTTTCCCACTTCTAGTTGTCCGTCTCTTCAGGGACATCCTTTATGTGAAGAAAGTGATAGAATTGTTAATATCTCTAAATAGTGAGGAGGACTTAATTCTTTCCCTACTATATTTGAACCCAAGCCTGGAACATGTAACCCACTAACTCTCATACTTACCCTTAATTTCTTCTTTCCTATTGTATCCCTATGGAAGAAAGGACTAGTTTCAGGTATTCTTAACTTCACAATTAATTTAAATTTTAAGATTATTACATATCTTATTTGTAACCACATTCATAGAGAATAAAATAATATCTCTTGAAGCCTAAGTGTATGAAAATTTCAATGTGCTGTCAGTCTGTAAAGTAAGCATCAATCTTCCCCCACAGTGAGAAGCATTTTGTATACATCACATGGATGTAGCACGTTCCATTGTAAACTCAATTTTTAAATTAGATTTGAGTCCCTTAAGTACAATGCCTTCTGTCTTATTTTTACTTCTTTTTACTCAGTGCCTCACTCAGTCCACACTCAGTGAGGATTTCACAAAGATGGAAAGAGTGATAATCTAAAATCTGCAGAATCTACTCTCTGAAATTCTAGAAAATATTTTCATTTTCCAAATTGGGTTTTAGTGAGTTAATGACTCAGAGAAAACATCAATAAGGTGATTATCTATACTTAGAGGAGAATTTGCCCCTAATTTATGCTATTCTACTAACTTGTTCCTAAATAACATGACCCTGCTTCTGCAGGTCACAGATATTTACTTGTTTGGTGTCACAATTGGAAAAATATTCATTGTTCTTAAGAATTTTTATTTTGGGAGTTTCATTTTATTACTGGAAAGCTCACTGATTTTTTTTTTTTCAGTTGAATGTTTTAGAATTTTGTAGACATAGCTAGCGTCTTTAACGTAAAAGTGGCTGGTAGTGATTTGCTGGTGATGAATTTATCAAGACAAGTGACAAATATTTAAAAAATTGATAGCAAATCTCTTGAAATTAGAACCTAAAATATATTATCAACTTACCTCCTGAGAGTTTTTTTTTTTTTTTTTTTTGAGACGGAGTCTCGCTCTGTCGCCCAGGCTGGAGTGCAGTGGCGCGATCTTGGCTCACTGCAAGCTCCGCCTCCCGGGTTCACGCCATTCTCCTGCCTCAGCCTCCCGAGTAGCTGGGACTACAGGCGCCCACCACCACGCCCGGCTAATTTTCTGTTTTTTCAGTAGAGATGGGGTTTCACTGTGTTAGTCAGGATGGTCTCGATCTCCTGACCTCATGATCCGCCCGCCTCGGCCTCCCAAAGTGCTGGGATTACAGGCGTGAGCCACCGCGCCCGGCCGAGAGTTTTTTAAAAAGTCTTTTTGTCATTGTTATCGTTTCTGCTTGACATTATAAAGTGGACAAAATAACAGTTCACTCAGCCTGAGATTGTTTAGAGAATTGATAAGGCACAGCCAGTGAAGTAGCTAACACAGTATAGCAATCACTCAATAAACAGAGGCTGTGCTATTCTGGAGGGAGGCATTGCTGTAAGTGACAAATGTACTTCATGATTTAGAATCACGAGTAATAGAATCATTAATCTTTTTTTTCTTGCTTACCTAAATTCTATAAAAGTAACACAAAGAAATAAAACCAAAACCCAAACGTCAAACTTTCAGTTACATAAAATTATATTTTGACTATTTCAATATATTTTAACCTGACAGACTATGGGAGAGACGTGAGGATAGAATACAGGAATGGTCTGAGCCACCGTCTCTGTGGGCAGGTGCCCTATCCCCCTCTCCACCAGCCCTTCCCACCCAGGCAACACATCTCTCACGGCCCACAAACTGGGAATTCACTCATTCTAGAGCTGCCTATATCATTATTTAGGTTCTTAGAGATTTTTCTTTCCATTTCCACATTCAAATCCCTTAAGGAGCTCTAGGAAATGCCTCCTGACTCATCCGCTATCACCATCCCTCTCGTCTGGCCTGCCCTTCCATAATCTACATCTTGATATTTTAAAATACCATCCATCATATTGCCAGCCCGTTGCTGTCTTCTGGATCTATTTATTTTTTTTCCTTAGTAATACTGCATGGGCCATGAAGTCACAGATGTCCCTATAGATAAACGTCTGATGTGAGCTGTGCCCCGGAAGGACAGTAACTGAATTAGTTTTATTAAGTATGAAAATAACTCACAGAGTGGGAGTGTTGGTTAGAAGTTGTCTTCCAGGAAACTGAGAACTGCCTAAAGTTATGCTGATGCTTCTGCGATCTTTGCTAATCACTCTTTCTCTTCCATAGGATACCTTTAACCACCACCCTCCTTTTCCCTTTACTTAACGTGTTTTACATTGGGAAAGAACCTAACTTGACTGTGTTGTTTTTAATACTCCTTGTCGGGCTAGGTTTTCTTTTTTCCTTTCTTTCTTTTTTTTTTTTCTTCTTTGAACATGAAATAAAATGCAACCTTTGAAAGGCTATTCATCTGTCTTCAGGAAAGGTCATGGGAAAAATGCTGTAGAATTTTCTAATGGTTCATCCATCAAAAATGCAGCTCTCCATTGATTCTTCCCGAATTGTCAATTTCCAAGCAGCCTCAGGGATAAGCCTCATTCTGTGAGACGCAATCCTTGATAAGGAAAAAGATAAAGTGATAAATGATTTTTCTGGTCTTTTCCTTTGGGAACGATAGCCAACTTGCTAAGTCTTAGACTCAGGCAATAGCCATTCATGAGCTACCTGCACACAAGGAGTTTGTGATGTTAGTAATGTGAATTTGGCAATAGTGTTTTCAGCAAAAAAAAAAAGTCACTACTTAAATACAAACCCCTATACATGACTGGCCTTGGAGAAAACTAGCAAAGCTCAGAAACAAACTGACTTAAAGTACGTTGCCAAACACAGCATCATATGTTGGCTGAATACAATATTTTAAAGGAACTGAAAATATTATAACAAAATAAACCTCCCATCTGGGTCTATGAGCCAATAAACTAAAATAATTCTCAGTAAATATCTTAAATGTAATCACATCTAGTGCTAAGAAGAATTATATTCAATAAGAAAAAGATGATTAAAAAATAAACTAAATGGGCCACTTTGCATACAATATTATTGAATATTTTGCAGCTACTTATCAAACTGGAAAGTATTATGAAAAATACAACTCTATCCCCTGTTCCCATGTTTTCCCTTACTTTGACATCACCATCCAAGAGAATGTTAACATTGCTCAGTGCTTGTTCAAGGTTTGTTCTAGATTCAAAATTGAATTCTGTCTTGCCAACCTTCTGGGTTACGAGCAATGACACAGCATGAAATGAGCATCAGGTGATATTTAACATGTGACACCACATCCTGGGGTATCAAAATCAGTGTGATTATTCCTGTAAAAGAGCTCATGATCTCTGTGATACAGAAAAGTAACTAGGCATTTAGAATGAAAGGTGATGAATTCTAAGACAGAAAGCAGAGAGTATGTGAGATAGATACATAGAATAGCACAAATCCAGGCTCAAGATAGTGAGATGGTGATGACAGGGTGAAGTCCAGGGTGCCCTCCAAGAGCAAGTGACAATGAACCCGGGAAGCATAACACACAGGCATGCCCATGTGCACATACGCCACACACATACATGCACATGCACACACAACATCTACACATATGATGCACATGCAAACACAGCAGAGACATGCACATACACACATGCACACACCACAAGCACAGGCATGCACACACATGAGTGCACATAGAAATACGTGTATGCACATAACATGCACACGAACACATGCACCCATAACAGATATATACATAATGCACATGCACACACAACATGCATGTGCCTACCACAAACATGCAAATGCACACACAAACACATGCATGCACACAATGGGTACGTAAACACAAGTGCATGCAATAAACATGCATATATCCAAACATGTCTTCACAGATGTGCACATGGACACACACACATGCAAAAACACACACATGTGTTTGAACAACATACACATGCATTCAGCAGACATACACATGCATGCAGCAGACATACACAAACAACACATGTGCAACACACAGACACTCAACACACGCACACAAACATCACACATGTGACACATAGACATACAACACATGCACACAAATATCACGTACCTATAACATGCATCCATATGCAGTGTGCACAATATATCCATGCACACACAACATATATATGTGCTACCCATAACACATGAATGTGATGTGACAAAAAGGTGCATGACACACATGCACATATCAATCCACATGCACCCCCACACCCAACACACATGCAACACACACATAGACAGACAACATGGACATACACATACACATGCACACACAGAGATGAGGGCAGAGGGGCATTTTGGATGTTTCAGACATAAAAATCTACACATTTAGAGAAGAGAAGTTGATAGCATTATTCTGAAAGATCTTAAGTATTACTGGATTTCAAAAATGAGAAATAGGTTGAGGCTGCAATGAGCTGTGATCATGCCACTGTACTTCAGCCTGAGCAACAGAGCAAGACTCTGTCTTGAAGAAAAAGAAAAAGAGAGAGAAGTGAGAAGAGTTGTTATGCATGTTGTGATTTATGATTGTGTCATTCCTAAATGACTGACATTGGAAGACTACCATTGCTGGCAGCAGTTAAGCCTGGTTCACCCAGCTGAGGAGCAGAGGAGCTAACCCTCTTCAGTTTGCTGGGCCAGACTGAGAAGGAGAGGGCTTGAGTAAAAGGTCAAAATTCATATCTAGGAAGAACAGAGCTTTTAGAGATCAACTTGAGCTAATTCAGTTGTTTTGTCATAATAATACTTTTAGCCCGAATATTATACATCTCCAGGAGTACTATCTTCCACTTCTGCAAATTGGCTTCTGAATACTACATTTTTTCATTCTTAAAAGTTCCATCTGGGTCTTCATTTATATCTTCTATTTCTCTCATTATATTCATGTTTTCCTTTACATTGTTCAGTATATTGTCAAGATTAATTACAGTTATTTTAAGGTTTTCCTGGTATTTTCATTATCCCTGCCATTTCTAGATCTGGTTTATTGATTACTTTATGACTCATATTTTTCTTCTTCTTTCCATGCCTCATAAGTTCTGACTGAATGCTGGACATTGTGAACTTTGCACTGTTGAGTGCTGGATTTTGCTGTATTCCTTTAAAGAGTATTGGCCTTTGTTCTGGCATGCAGTTAAGTTATTGCAGATCATTTTCACTTTTATGAAATTTCATTTAAGTTTTGGTAATCTGGGTCAATAGCTTACTCAAGGACTACTTTAGCCCCACAGCTAAGGTATGTCCCTTCCTAGAACCCTCACCAATGCCTTGTCTGTTATGAGTGCTCTCCACTCTAGTCCACAGAAACTCTTCCTAGCCCTGAGTAAGGCCCAGAAATTGTTTTAGTTTGCTGCTTTCTGGAGACAGTTTCTTCAAACTGAAGGATGTGCAGGTCAGTACTCCAACAAAAATGAGGGGGACCCTCTGATCATCTGAAAAACTCTCTTTGGGTATTTCCTTCCTTAAAGAGCTCTGCCTCACACAGTTTAGCCCCCTTTGCATCCTGAAATCATTTCTGGGTCTTCACCATTCAGCACAATCTCCAGGCCTTGTTTCAATTTCCACTCTTTGAAAGGTGGCCTGAAAACTACTTTCAGGCACTGACCTGAGGCAATTTGAGAGCTCACCTTGTCTGTTTCTCTTTTGTCATAAATTTCTACCCTGGGCCACCAGTTATCCAATGTCTGAAGAGCATTGTTTTGTGTATATTTCACACAATTATACCGGGAGGGCATTCCTGTAGTCTTGATGCTTCATCATTTTAATGAATGTAAAATTTAGCATAATTAATGCCACACACACACACAGAGAGAGAGAGAGAGAGAGGGAGAGAGAGACAGAGAGAGAGAAAGAGTGAGAGAGAGAGAGAGAAAGAGAGAGAGAGAGAGATCTGCCAGGAGACACATATGGTCATACAAAGTATCTATCTTCCAGAAAGGACTTTCTCATTGACATCAAGTGCACTCACCAGCCTTGTATACAGAAGGCTTTCTCTGAATCAGACAGAAAATTCTAACCAGCTCTACAGGAGGCAAGGCCCTCCAAGAGGTGCAGAGAGATAGGACCATCGGTCTCCGGATCTCCTAACCTCAGGTCCTGCACCAATGACAGCGACAGCGGCTGGCTGAGTTTTAGGCCTTACTTATAAAGGGGCAGCGTTCCTCTGCATGAATCTTTGCCACTAACATCTCAAACTCCACAAATTTTAATAGTCAAAAACTCTTGCTATCATCTCTCATGCTAATAAACAATGCTAAATGGCCAACACCGATTAGGATTATCGCGTTTAGATTCTATTCTGATTAACTTACCCTACCAAGTTTATGTGCACAACAATTACATTATTTATAAGGAAGGAAGCACTTAATATATCACAGAAATACAATATAAAATGAATGAATGACACTAGGTATGTAGGTCTTCAAGATTAAAGAAAAATAAACACGTGGGGAGTGGTAGAATAATTGCATTATTATTTTCCCTCTAGTAACAATTAGCACTATACATCTTTCTCCTGATTCAAATGCAGTACATGGTGAATGAGTATTTTGACCTCAAACTGTCCAAATTGAAGATGGATAGATATTGCAGCTATATCCGCAGAAGTCGTGAGAGTTCTTCCTGGGGCCGGTTCTGGTAGAAATTCAGTGTCTCCTGCAATAGGATGGCCATAGTGGTGCATGTCTTTTGCTCATGGACCAGCAGGACAATCGCCATTTAGAGGGGATGCCCTCAGAGCTGTTTCTCCAGGAAGTAGATGTGTCTTCAGATTGAATAAGGAGATCAGTGTCTCTCTCACTTGGAGGCCCACAAAATGCAGCAATAAACCAAGGTAAATTTTTAAAGCATGTAACATTGCTTGCAGAATACATTGCTGTTTCTTTTTTCTGCCACCCACAGACATAAAATAGCAATTCATCTAAGAACCAGGAAAGACAACTAGATTTTCTTTCAGCCAAAATAGAAAGTTCTGGACAACACATGAGTAACTTACAGTATCAGTTTTATCTTGAGCTCCTTTTTCTACAACAAGATTAACCCCAGCAACGGTTTTGCTGCTTCCATAAGGGTTTTTTTTTTAATTGATTTTTTTTTGGTTCAATTCTGCTTCTTCTATAAGGTTGTTTTTAAAAATGTAAATTGGCAGGTCAAGGCAGGCGGATCACAAAGTCAGGAGATCAAGACCATCCTGGCTAACATGGTGAAACCCTGTCTCTACTAAAAATACAAAAAAAATTAGCCGGGTGTGGTGGCGGGTGCCTGTAGTCCCAGCTACTCGGGAGGCTGAGGCAGGAGAATGGTGTGAACCCGGGAGGCGGAGCTTGCAGTGAGCCAAGATAGCGCCACTGCACTCCAGCCTGGGCAACAGAGCGAGACTCCATCTCAAAAAAAAAAAAAAAAAGAAAAAAAAAGAAAATTGGCACTCTCTAAAACAAAAAATGTATAAAAACTTCAAAAACAAATATCCCTGAAAAAAAAAAAGTCATGGTCAAATCTGCTGTGGAATGAAAGAAATACCAGGGTAGAAAATAAGAAAGAGCTTTTCACTTTTACTAAGGACAGAGCCGTCTTCCCACACAGTACATGCCTCTAAATGGCAATGCCTGGTTTACAGTTCGGGTTTTTGCCTGCAGCTACTTTCTTCAGGAAAAGATAAACTCTGCGTCCTACTTTTACTTAAACCATATATAGACGAGTCTCACCAGGAGGCTTTTGAGGATTGTGAAACAGGACCGGAACATGCCTATTAGTGGATGTCTGGAGCGCACAGTGAGAAAATGCACATGCACCATTGCTTTCCCTAAAGCTACCATTCTAAAAATTATTATTAAAAGCTCAAAACCCACTTGGAAGATATGTTCATGCCTATTGACAGGCAACAAGAAAGTCAAATATAAATGTAATAAGCCTCCACCAGAAAGTGGGGGGAAGAAGTTTTGATCTCTTAGACCAAGATTTAATCAGGTTTTTGGTTTTTTTTAAGAACATAGGGAATGCATTCTGTTTATGATTTTCTCAGAATAGGTCTTTTTAATTTCAGAATGTATACATTTCTTAAACTTGGCCAGGCTATTAGTAATATCCGCTGTAAGTGTGGCATCACCACTCTCTCCCTTTGTACGCCCTAGAGGAAGAGAAACAAATGAGAGATCATCAAATCAACCTCACAATTACACAACCAATTATCTAAAAATGTTCAGAAGATGCTGGCACTAGATACCAAAGTTTTCAAGATTGATTCCTGGCTTTTTTGTGTGTCTGCAGGAGTGCTAACTTCCCTTTGAGGAAAACCAAGCAAGAGTCTCCATGAGGATAAGAAAAATGATGAGTAATATCAGCACGACTATGCCCTGAGTAAGGTGCCAGTGACATAAAAGAGACACATCACCCTCGTTTAGCAGAGTTAGAGGTGTCGAATCCTCCTTAAGTAGAATAGTGATTGTGGGATGCTAATGATTTTTTAAAATCTACACTCCTTGTTTTTCCTATGTCTTCTACATTTTCTGCACTGAGCATATGTTAGTGGTTTTATCTTTTCTTCTTTCTTTCTTTCTTTTTTTTTTTTTGAGATGGAGTCTTGCTCTGTTGCCCAGGCTGGTGTGCAATGGTACCATCTCAGCTCACTGCAGCCTCCGCCTCCTGGGTTCAAGTGATTTTCCTGCCTCAGCCTCCCTCCTGAGTAGCTGGGATTACAGGTGCCCACCACTGCACCCAGCTAATTTTTGTATTTTTAGTAGAGACAGGGGTTTCACCATGTTAGTTAGGCTGGTCTTGAAATACTGACCTCAGGTGATCTGCCTGCCTCGGCCTCCCAAAGTGCTGGGATTACAGGCGTGAGCCACTGTACCCGGCCATGATTTTATATTTTCAAAAGAAGAGAATCATGTTTAGTATGGGCAGGTGGAAAACAAAGAACATCCTTGTTTCCCAGATTGGAAATGGACATGAGTGGCAAGGCAGAGACCAGTTGCAGCCTCTCTAAGAATATCCTGACTCTGTCAAGTGAGCATCAGAAACCCAGCCTGCAGACACCCTGAGCTGGCCATAATGTGTAAAGCTGGTGTATCCTGTAAAGGTGCTTGGTAAATGCTCTTGTTAAAATCTGAACATGCATTCAGCCTGCAAATATGTAAAAGCAAAACAATATCCCCACTTATGCACTGATACAAATAGAGGGACGCACGTAGGTGATAAAATACTGAGTCAGACTTCCACGTCACTTGTAACCTGTGTCTGTGCCTGCAGAGGAAACCTCTGTGTGTGGGCTGTCCCATGTGTGTACGTGTGTGTCTGTGTGTGCATGCATCCACTCATGCATGCCTGCGTGTCTGTGTTGCTAAATCCCGAAGGCTGGTTAATGCTTGGGTAAACTCATTGTCTAAGGGAGCTCTAGACAGTGTTACCTTCAAAACGGAGCAAAGCAACCGACGCAGAATGTTCACTCATCTCAGAGAAATGAGGCACCAAAGCAAGAAGCGTTGAGAGTTGCTCTAGGGGCTGATAAACGGGTGAAAAAATTACCAATCTGCTCTTCTCAAGATGTGACCTGGACAGATTTGGAAGACGTGTGAAAAGCCAGCCAGCAGAATTGGACCTCAGCCACAGCACTTTTCCAGAGATAATCTTCAAAAACGTCTGAAACTCTATCAAATTCCCAGTTCTCCTTGCCCTAGAAATCCTCCTTTGAGCCCAAATTCACCTCTAAAAAGCGTTTGCTCCCAGGTAATGGTGTTCAGAAATAAGAGGAAGGTGAAGATGAAGGAAGGAGAATGTCTTGCCCCTTGGAGACGCACAGAAGCCCCAACTCTCAGCTGTCCGGAGCTGACTCTCATCTTGTAAACATTGCTTCTGAGAAGGACACTGCAGGCAGAAGTGCTTCTCTCCTTCCAGCCTCAAGGGTTCAGACCCTCTCCCCTTTCTGCGGTTCACTCATCCCTCACCAATGCAGGGCCCTGGAGCAGCAGGAAACGTGGGGATGGCATGGGTGGCTGTGCTCCCTCCCCGTGGCCCAGGGATCCTGCAGCGTAGAATCAGTCATAGAAAACATCTAAGTTTGTACAGATTGAGGATTTAACTGGGGTGTATTTTCCCAGAGGAGATAGTCATCAAAGCAACTGATCTATAGGAACGTTCGATAAATATTTCTTAATAAATAGAGTTGATACGGTATTAATCTGAGACATAGGCTCCTTTCATGGCAGGAAACCTTGCTGTACCTTAATTCTCCATTGAAGAGGTTCGTGCCCCTCTTTCTCTCATCTATTACTGCATTGATTTGTTCATCTAATCAACACGTACCAATGAGATCGCAGCCATGGGCAGGCCCCGGGTTAGAAGCCAGGATAAGTATTTACGGTGGAGAACATGAGAGGTGGGATACACAGGGGAACGCCCGTGCCTGAACCTAAGAGGTGTGACTCTACCAAGTGGGAAAGGCAAGCACGCATCATGCCAGTGCAAAATTACAAACAGAGACGACCAGCCGTTGAAGTCAAGACACACACATGTTGTGGCACCAGCGTATGGGGGCCTGGGCTAGTCTGGGCTACCACAAGAGCAGCATTTTCCTGAGGTCTGCAGAGTCCGCCCTTCTTAAGCGACATGGGCCCCAGAGAACAGGGCAAGGGACCCTGCAGGAGGAGGCCCCCCAAGGAGCCGAGAGAAGGACCCGAGAAGGAACCGGGACCTGAGAAGGAAAGGCTAAGGGAGAGATGGACTGAGAGGGCGTGGGGCCTCATCGCCACGTTAAGGATTTGGGTCTTCATCAAAAGATCATTGAAAAGCCACCTAAGCAGTTTAGACACAAGAGGGACTGAATGTGTAAAAGGCCACTCCAGCTGCAAGCGCAGTATGGGATGAAAATGAGCGCCAGAAACAGATGAGAGAAGGTGAGGTTCCACCGCGAATGCAGCCATGGAGACAGAGAACAATGTACAGGGTACAGCTAGGGAGCAAGATCGGGGGAGTTAGCAATGGACTGTGTGGGGCTGGGGAGAAAAAAGAGGGAGGGAGGGAGGGAAGGAGGGAAGTGGGGAGGGAGGGAGGGCCGGGGATGACTGCCGGATTTCTGGCATGAACAACTGCGCAGACTTCACTGTTCTGGCTATGATGGAGGCCCCAGAGGAAGTGAGGCGAACCAGGGTCTCGGGAGGACGGAGCCAGGTCTTGCTCTGGACGGGCCAAGGCTGAAGGGCTTTGATGTCCCCAGGTGGAACTGTCCACTTGTTAGCTGGATATACTTTCCTGAAGCTCTGAGAAGAGGTCTGAGCTTTAAGAAAGAAATGTAGGAACTCCGTGTGCACAGATGGTCCTGAAGACACATGTGGGATCTCACCCTTACCACAGGTGCAGTGAGACAGCCGCTCCACCTCTTCAAGCCTCAAGGCCTCACCTGCAGGTAGCCACACGCAGGGCTGTGTGGAGGACCGAGTGAGATCATGCCTGTGAAGTGCCCAGGACTGTGCCTGATTCACAGCAAGGGTTCCATGTTGCCTATAATGAACATTATCTCTAGAGACCACAGACTCTGATGGGCCAGGAACACGGGTGAGCCTGAGACTAGGCGGACGCATGGAGCTGGGACAGCCAGAGAAGTTCCCCCAAGAAGTCAGAGGAAGGAAAGTCTGCTGATGCCTACTGGCTCCTCATCTATGTTCATTGTGTCATAGCTGCTCTCAGAGCCTTGTCCAACCTTTACCAACAACCTCATGCCATGGCCACTGTTGGGTCTGGTTTGCAGGTGAGGAGCTAGAGCTGGCATAAATTACCCAAATCCTACACACAGAGGGGCCAAACCCAGAGATTCAACCTTGTCCATTTGACCCCAAGTCTTGAGCTCTTGCTCTACATCCCCTTATTTCCCAAGGGAGTAGATTAAGAAGCAGCACCATGAGCTAAAGGCATGGATGCTAGAAAAGCTTCAGGTAAATTATCAGGGGATGGCCGACAAGGAAACCTATAGGAGCTTGGGGACAGGGAGGTCCAGGGAGGCTGGTTGGGTTCAGGGAGGCTGGTCCTCAGACAGATGGGAGCAGAGAAAGGGAGAGCCCTGTGGGGCAGGGGCCAGACTGATTACAAGACAGGGGCCCGGCAGGGAAAGGCAGGACCCTGGGGTGGAAGGAGGGGCCTGGACCTGGAGACAGGGGCTGTCATGTTGGCCTGGGGCCCGAGGGTGAGTGGAGGCTGGGCCAGCACGCTCCTCCACTCAGGGGCCTGTCCAGGGTCTGTGAGGTGTGAAAGGGCACCTGACAATGGGCGTCCAGGGACTGCAGAGAAGGGCCCAGGTCAGGCCTCAGGCTGCTGGTCACAAAAGGCCTCGTGTGACTCAGATGTCCGCTTGCTCCTGGACGGCTTTCTCAGGCTGGGAACGAAGCAGCTGGGCAGCTTCTAGTTCTACCTGCAGAGTCACTTTCTCGTGTGTTTGTTTCATGTCTTCTGAACGGCGGGAGCTGCGAGGGCTACTGGAAGTTGAGAAGTTATTCTGCTGGGACGTGGCCATGCCCGGGAACCAGTAGCTCCGTAACAGCACCTGAGCCTGCAGCCTGCCAAGCCCCTGGCGGGAGGAGGAGAGCCTTCAGGGATTCCCCAGGAAGCCACCTGAGCAGGACTAGGGTGGAAACATCGGAGAGTGAAGGAACAGCCTCTCTCTTGGGAGGAGTGTGATCAAGAGGAATGAGGAGAAGAATGAGGTCATGAATCCCAACACAGACAGGCAAGTACACAGGTCCAGAGCCAAAGAGACAGAGAGACAGAGAGAAAGAGAGCTGGCCCCAGTGTGAACAGACCTGAGCCAGTGCAGACGTATCCCTGGTTAAGGTATAGACAAATGCAGCCGGGCGCGGTGGCTCATGCCTATAATCCCAGCACTTTGGGAGGCCGAGGCAGGCGGATCACGAGGTCAGGAGATCGAGACCATCCTGGCTAACATGGTGAAACCCTGTCTCTACTAAAAATACAAAAAACTAGCCAGGCGTGGTGGCAGGTGCCTGTAGTCCCAGCTACTCGGGAGGCTGAGGCAGGAGAATGGCGTGAACCCAGGAGGCGGAGCTTGCAGTGAGCCGAGATGGCACCACTGCACTCCAGCCTGGGGGACAGAGCGACACTCGGACTCAAAAAAAAAAAAAAAAAAAAGAAAAGAAAATGTATAGACAAATGCTTATCACCAGAAGAAACTGAGATCTTTCATCTAAAATTCAGAATTCCAGGCATTTATAGTGATTTTTAAGAAAAAAAAAATTATTAAAATAGTGATTCATCCCCCAAACCAATTTATTATTCTTAATGTCATTAAAAACCACACACACACACAAAAAGACTGGAGACTCAGCCCAGGACAGTGAGCATAGTTAGAAAGAAAGCCACTTGAGCAGGACCGGGTAGAGGTTAACTTCCAACCACAGCTAAAGATGCCAGATTGTCATTCCAGTTCAGTAAAGCCCACCTCAAACTGTATTTATTGATTCATTTCACAATAATCTGCTACTGTATTCAACACTCTAAGGGAGTGAGGAGTTTACTTGATTCAGCGGTAAACGCAGAGCTCTGGTAGGAGGTATTAATACTACTTATCAGCAAAGGTTACTAGCTTGCAAAATGTTTGAATCATGTTACCACATGGTTACCAAAGCTGAGTTATGAAATGCCAGGGGCTGACTCTGGGTGCACAGCACTTACGTAAGTCACTCTGCACAGGGCGCTGGAGGAGAAGTTGAGTTCTATTACAGGAAGCAGAGGAAGTTTCAGCAGACAGTCACTTGCCAATTTGAACAGTCCAAACACATGGTCTTCCAGTTTACATGCCCAGTGGTTTCTAAATAATTCACATGTCAGCTGCACAGACACATTGATAGTGTCATGGGTTTTGATGGGTTGGCCCAAATCCCATCATGAGTACAGTTCCATGTTCCCCCTGAAACTGGCGACGAGAAGTCCTCCCGGGGGAAGGCAGACAAGGGCAGCAGTGGAGTTTTGGGGTTGAGACTGAGCCAGAAAGCAAAGTGCCACTTCTGCCCATATGATGGTGAGATTTTGGAAGATTCCAAGTCTGAGAGACTGGGTCATATTGAGAGAATCGTGGAAATCATTTGGAAACCGGGCAGTGGGGAGGGAAGGATAAAGCCGTCTTCCATTTAAAAGGGAAACAGATACAATCTGAATGTATCTCCCCGGTTTGTCTGCTAAGGAGAGACACTCTTGTCTGCCGATAAAGAGCTGAGAGCCTCAAGTAGGTCAAAAATAAAGAAAACAAATTGAAGGTGAGATTGATTCATGACACATGTGTTACAAGGTCTGGTGGGAGCCTCTACTTTTTCTGGAGGATAAAACCATCAAAGCACACTGCCCCCGTTTCATCACACCACTTGCGTATTATAGAGACACAATCAGTTCTCAAAATCCCTAATTTGGGCATTTTGTGCCTCAAAAATATTTGTTCCCTTAGTATTCAATGTGGCACCATAGTACGAGTGCAGGTGTTTTGAATTTACACCTATCCTAGCTTTCACTTCTGATCCAACTCATGGGTTTGGTACGTCTGCTTAGCAGTACAATTTCAACGACTAAAATTGTCCGTCTCTATTGACTATGAACCATGCAAAAGGACGACCACTGGATGGTTTTCACCACAGCTGTGGCCACAGTGGCTGGAGAGGTGGTCCACCCTAGAAGACCCTAGGAAATAGCAGGCTGATGACACTGAACACATCAGTTATGTGAAAGGTGTGCGTGCATGGTGAGCCAGGAGGCTCAGTCCTGGGAGCAAAAAGACATTATAATCTTTAAATCAGAAGTAATTCCAGGAGCTTTCAACTGATAAAGGGGCTATCTTATGACATGAATAAATAACTAGACATAGTAACAACAAAATGATATTTTTCTTACTCAGGTGATCATCTTCTTATTCAAACGTGTATGTCAGAACCTGACTTAGGGATGGGAAGTTAGAAAATAAAATGAGAAAAGTGGAAAGCTGATTTCCTGCAGCCTACTTCCATCATTAACTCTTGGAGGCTTGACAATCCTTGTTGGAAAGCAGTCACCCAGGCAGTAAACGCTGACTAATTGATGTGTTAATAAAAGTGGACATTGTGTAACATTCCTAATATGTTAATAGTGTGGTTTGCAAAACATTTTAAAATTACTTTAATGAAATATTTGATTAAACGTAGGTTTAATTTAAAATTTCACATTTTTAATCAAGGAGGATCAGTAATTAGCCTGGAGGCTTGAATCGAGAGCATATGTATAATTTCTGCAAATAAAGAGAGTGCACCAGTGTTCCTAGAGGGTCCTGTGTCATCGACCTGTGTATGTGTGAATAACTACACATTTTTGGTGCTGTGGGATTCACTGGTAATTGCATTGCAGACCAATTAAGAGAGTATTTATAGTCCAAATTAACCTGATAATCAAGAATCCCCATACAATATTGATCTCTCTTAAGAATTTTCTGAATGTAGGTAGGTGCTCTAACCAGCTTCTTGAAGAAGTGTTCAGAAGCCAGAATCAATGAATTCGGCGGTAATATTTCCCCCTAGAAACGTGGGCCATTTTCAATTTTTGCATGCGCAGAGTAAATGCTCAGCAAAAGATTAATTACTTGAGTATTTCATCGATATTCCTATAGACAGAAGGTATTTACGGAGGGCCTGAGCATGCATTCTGTAGAGTCCGATAGGTGGGATGTCTTCCCTCACCCATCACAAGGGTCATAGCAGAGACTCCTAGAACAAAAGACAGGTTAACAGGAGAAAAGCATAATAGGCATAATATTTAGTCCAAATTTTACATGACACGAGATCCTTCAGAAATGAAGAATCAAAGGCCCAGGGAAAACTGTGTCTTTTTACACTTAGGATGGATGGAAGCATGGACAGACATGTAGGAATGTGATGGGACAGAAGACTGTGATCTAATGGTGAGAGAGTGAGGGTAAGCCCAGCAAGACCCACCTGTTCCTGTTCTCCATGGCTTCTCCATTTGTGTTCCTTACCTCTCAGGAAGAGGGCAGGACTCCTCTGGAATGAGGGTCTCCGAGGAGGAAGAGAGACAGTGACCTTTCTAAGTTTCATGGCTGGTTTTGGGGAGAGGAATTCTAGTGCCCATGACCCACCTTAGGGAAGGGGAATTCTGTTTTCTATGACTCACTTTGGGGCAGAAAGAGGGCAGAGAGAGACATGAGGGCAGGAGAGGGTCGGAGAGACCTGGCGTAGGCGGCCTTCCCATTTCCTCCAGCTCAAAGCACTTGACATGCTCTGGCGCCATACTTTGGGGTCTTGTTTTCTGAGCCTCACAATTCTGAGAGATTCTGCACACGGGTCACCGAAGGTCATCCTCACAGACTCCCCTAAAGTGACCTATTATTATCACCATAACAGACATGGAACCTGGGACTCAGTCCTCAGGTGATTGTCCAGAATGGGGAGCGGGCCATTCTGGACAATCTGTACCATGGCCACAGAATGTAAACAGAAAACTCATTCATTCATTCACAACTCCAGACATTCTTCTTCAACATGGATCTTGGCAAAAAATGGGGTCTTCAATTCAGATTAAATAAAGGAAATGAAATACAATTATTTTTAAGTTATGAAGACATCTTAAATTTTTACTTAAGGCTAAAATGTCATTTTCTTATACAAGACATAAGCATTTGATGTTTGTCAAGTTCACAGTTAACTACTCAGGGGTACAGATTGCTTCTTGTTAAAGACACCACTGACTGAATATTTTAACCACTCGAATAGAAATTTCTACATTTTATCGGTGTCTGCCAAACCAAAATACCCCAACGGAATTCCTTTGAAATCTCTGGGAATGCATTATTGGAGTGGGTGTCGATACTAACTTTTCACATAAATCTACTCACCCTCAAGTTAGGATATTGGACATATGGTTTGTGGAAATATTTGAAGCATTTGCATAAGACATGCAAGTTTTGGAAGAATGACCATTTTAATCAGGCTGACTAACTGAGATGAGAAGAGGGAGGTGTGACCATCTGTTTAGCTTCATCTTGATTTTATTTAGCACCTGCAAAAAAAATAGATTTGAGCCACTTCTGAACGAAGAAAATATGGAGAACCTGTCTAGGACTGTCTCCTGTGCCCTTCTTCAAGGAAAGGAAAGGTCAAGTTACAAACAAATTATACACACACGCTGTGCACATGTGCACACATGCACATATACACAAACCCTACACCTTTTGAAATCTAAGATCTGTAGTTCCATAGTTCACTTGATAACTACAGGTCTTAATTTTAGCACTCTAAGACAACACTCAATACATATGCTAATATTTGCCGATACCTATAAAGGCCAAAAGAAACAAAAAGTAAAGTTATTATGTGTAGGAATGACAGAGGATTCTGAACTGAGAGAGGCAGTTATATAATTTGCCAATTCCTAAGCTGTTTATATAAATGGTTATAAATGGATATACTGTGTTGCCTAGGAAGGTTATAGCTCTCTAAAATGATATTAATATGACATGAAAATAAAGCGATAAAATTCCAAGCTATATTTCAATGCATAAATAATGCTAGAATATAGTTGACACTCAGTAATATCAACAAACAAGTGAAAAAATTCCTTACTAGTTTTTTGGTAGTTTTTTCTGACAAATAAATTTGAACTTAAATGTATTTTCTTTATCAAGATTATCCTAAGACTTTTGTGCTGCAGTTTTTGAGATAAATCATTTGATAGATTTTCTGATGTTGAAATTTTCTCTTACTCTTGACCAAACTCTCTTTGGTGACTATGATTTTCCTCTTCTCACTCTGGACTCTTATTTACATTCTTATTCTCTCTCTGTCTGCTCCTCATCCTCCTCCTGTTCTCTCTCCATTTCCCTTTCTCATCTCCTCTCTCTTTTTCCTTCATCAGTCTTGATATTATTAATATTTTTAAAAACTCAGCTTTTGGAATTTTGAATTATTCTCTTTCGTGATCATTGGTTGTTCCTATGGCTGCCGCCACCCTGTTCCTGTACTTCTCTATTGTATCGATTTCTGTTCGCATTTCTCTTTCTTATTTTTTATTTTGATCTGATGCTTATTTTTTTCCTTGCTGATTTTTGGAATTTAAAATTCAGCTTACTTGTTTTCAGTCTTTTGTATTTATAGTTAAACTTACAACTTTCCAACTAACTACGGCTTTATTCAATAAAGTAATTAGTTTTGGGACATACTGTTCTATCATCAATTAGATCCAGGTGAATAATAGAGTTATTTAGATTCTCTGTGTCGTGACTAATTTTCTTCCAGTTGGTTCTGTCAGTTGCTTGAAAAAGGATTTTTAAATCTCCTACTATGTTTGTGAAATCTTCTCTTTCTCCCTCTAATACTATTTTATCTTTATGTATTTTGAGGCTTTATTTTTAGGTGCATAGAGATTTATATTTGTTATAGCCTTCTGATGAATTGGTCTATTTATCAATGTGAAATTTTCTTATCTTTGGTAACAATTTTGACTGAGTTTGCTGTTAATACAGCAACTTCAGCCCTCAAATGCTTCCTGTTTAGATACTATATTTTCCATTCATTAATTTTTGAACTACTGTAAGTACATCATCTTTTATAAACAGCAAATAGTCAGGTGTCTCTGCTTTTTAAGTGGACCGTTCAGTCCATTATCACAAAATTGAATAAAAATAAGCCTATCATTTTATCATTTCTTTGTCACCCCTCTGTGTTTTGTTTCTCTCTTCCCTCCTTCCTGCCTCCTTTTAGATTGTGTTTAAATTTTATTTTAACTTATCAGTTGCCTTTTTAGCTGTGTATCTTTGCATTTTTGTAATGATTGCTCTAGGGATTACAATATACCTGTTCTCGTAGTCTACTTAGAGTTAATACCGTACCACTCTACAGAAGAGAGAGAAATCTGCAAACATATTAATTCATTTACCCTCTCCAGCTGTATTATATGCTAAGGGCATCTTACATATGACATATATGTTATAAATCCCACCGTGTTACATATATATATTATAAAGACCATGTTAGATTTGCTTTAAATGACTACATGATTTTTAAAAAACGGAGAAATCATGCTTTTTATGTTTGCCTCACAATTTTCTCATTTCTGATGCTTATCACTCATTCCTGAAGATCCACATTTCCTCCCATATCTCTTTCCTTCAGTTTCAAAAACTTCTTTCAGCATTTCTGGAAGTGCAGGTCTAATGGCTGCCGATTCCTTTCATTTTTTTTTTTTTGGAAAATGTTTTTATTTGTATTTCATTTAAGAAGGATATTTTTACTGAACTTTCAATTCTGGATTAACAGGTGTTTAGTTTTTTTTAAATTTGGGCAATTTAAAAAGTTTTGGGGCCATCTTGTTGCCTCCATGGCTTCCGATGAGAACTCAATAATAATTAAGATAATCAATCCCCTGTGTATAATTTGTCATTTTTCCCTGGTAACCCCAGGGTTTCCTCACTATCTTTGGTTTTAGCAGTTTGTCCATAATATGCCTAGTCAAAGCTTTTTTTTTATTTTATCCTATTTGAGGTTCACTAACGTTCTTGAATATGTCAATTTGCATCTTTCCCCATTTGGGATGACTTTGAGCATGATTCCCTCACTATCTTTTCTGCCTCATCCTCTGTCTCCTGTGTCCTGGGGTCCCTCATGTGTGTTCTAGCCCCTTCTCCCTCAAGACTCCTCTTCACATAAGCTAGACTTCTGAAATCATCTCAGGGTTCCCTAAAATTCCATCCTTTTTTTTCTTTCTCACATCCTCAGATTCTGTACCATTTACGGATCCATCTTCCTGTCCACTGGCCCTTTTTACTGCCGGCCCTGCTCTGCCGTTAAGTTCTTCCAGTCAAGTTGTTCATGTAGACGTTTTGTCTATGCACTCTTAATTTTCCACTTGGTCATTTTTATGGTTTCTTTTTTTTTTGAGACAGAGTCTCACTCTATTGCTCAGGCTGGAGGGCAGTGGCGTGATCTCGGCTCACTGCAGCTTCCACCTCCTGGGTTATAGTGATTCTCCTGCCTCAGCCTCCCAAGTAGCTGGGATTACATGCACACACCACCAAGCCCAGCTGATTTCTGTATTTTTGGTAAAGACAGGGTTTCACCATGTTGGCCAGGCTGGCCTCGAACTCCTGACCTCAGGTGATCCGTCTGCCTCGGCCTCCCAAAGTGCTGGGATTACAGGCGTGAGCAACTGCACCTGGCCATTTTCTATATTTTTTAGTGACATTTCCTATGTTTTCATTTGTCATGAGTGAATTTTCCTTTGCCACACCAAGCATAGTTTTGATAACTATTCATGTTCTTGTCTGATCATTCCAACAGAGGTCATCTCAGGCCTCATATCGATTGACTATGTTTTCCCCTGAGATGAGGTCACATTTTCTAGGCTTTTTGTAGGTTGAGTAATCTTGGATAATATCTACTATGTCATTAGACTTTGGATTCTCTGTTATTGCTCAGAAAAACGTTGATACTCTTGTTGAGTAAGTAATTAATTCAACTAGATTCTGTGCGGAGAGTTACGCCAGCATTAGACGAGATGGCTCAGACTTTATTCCGGCTCTTTGAGCCATCATTTCAGGCCACTTTCAGTTTGATCTATGCATGTGGGGTTCAAACAGCAGCCGGAGCTGGGGGCGGTGGGGAGGGGGGCATTTATGCTCAGAATCAGATGTCCCCCGTCCCCCTCCGCTTTCCGAGGCTGTCCTTTCTCCCTCTCTCCCTCCTGGCTGCTCTTGGGTTTTCTCCCTGATTGCCTTCAGCGGAGGAGATGCTGGGCTTGGTAAGCTCTGCCTCAGTGGAAGCTTCTGTAAGATAAAGGCGCAGTAGAAAAATGCAAACGTGTTCTCTGCCCCCCGCGCGCTTCAGGGTTGGCTCCCTCCAAAAGCTTCCTGAGCTTGTTCAGTCGCCACAGCTCTGAGAGAGCAGTTTGTTTTGTATCTTGTTAAAGTTTATAGCTGTTAATGATAATTGATTGTTAAGAGTTCACCCCATCTAAGGAGCATATGGCCCACAAATGGCCGGAAGAGAAACTTCCGAGCACTTGCCCCTCCTCAACTGTCATTTTCTCACTTATCTTTAATAGAATATGTATTTTTCTTATATAAAATTATACATATGCTAAAATATAACATACATATATGTAAGAATATATATATGCTGCACTCTAAACACTTACTGCTTTCTTATGTTTCAAATATTTTCTTCTATTTTATGACTTGACTTTCCATTTTTTATGAGAAGCAGGTTTTTTAAATTACATATAGTCAAATATATCAATCTTTTACATGTACGTAATGGTGTGTATTTTTGTGTCTTGTTTAAAAAGACATTCGAAAAAATGATAATAAAAAAACTTCCTAAATCCCATAGTCATATTGATTTTTGTTTTGTATATTGTCTTAAAATTTTTAATTTTGCTTTTTACACTTAAGACTTTAATCAGTCTAGAATTGATTTTTACACACGATATGAAGTGGAGATCTAATTTCTTCATTTTCATTTTGGTTTTCTGGATGAATGAATAAGGGTTAAAAGTTATCATTTACTAAATAGTCCATTTTTCTCCTACAAAAGGAATAAATCAATTTCCAATCATCTATTTCTCTATCCCTTGTCAATACCACATTTACAACTGGGCCCAACCCTAAGTGGTACAGAGGCCCACAGATAAGTAAATGATTGCAGAATAAACTTTGCCAGCTTTAGGACTTTGGCTAGACGTAGCTGGTTCTGCGTGGCATTTTTTAGCCTAGAAACTCAAAGTGCCCCATAGCCTGATTAGGATACACGTGTCATCTTTTCTTCTCCTATTACAAATAAACTAAAGCAGGGACCTGGGTAGCTTGCATATGCATGGGTAGCCTGCAGGGGCTTTGAAATGAAACTGCCTGAGTTCAAAGCCTGATTTCACCACTTACTAACTTAGATCACTTGTCCTTGAGAAATTACCGGATGTCTTTCAGCTTCAATTTCTTATTTATCAAATGCTAATAATAATGTATTCATACCTTAAAATGCTATAAGAATGGACTGAGAAGCCCAAGTGCGGTGGCTCACGCCTGTAATCCCAGCACTTTGGGAGGCCGAGGCGGGCAGATTGCCTGAGCTCAGTAGCTGGAGACCAGCCTGGGCAACATGGTGAAACCCCATCTCTACTAAAATACAAAAAATTAGCTGAGTTTGGTGGCACACACCTGCAATCCCAGCTACTAGGGAGGTTGAGGCAGGAGAATTGCTAGAACCCAGGAGGCAGAGGTTGCAGTGAGCCAAGATCACGCCACTGCACTCCAGCCTGGGCAACAGAGTGAGACTCTGTCTCTCAAAAAAAAAAAAAAAAAAAAAAAAAGAATGGACTGAGAAAATAGGGATAACCTGGCAGTATAATCAAAAGCATGCCGTAGAAAGAAAAGGTTTGTCTCACTGGATACGTGGAGTTATGCGGCCGCAAGACCAGGCACTGGTTCACTGGCTTCCCATTCTGAGCCCTTTTCTCCTTGACTTTTGGTCTTATAGAGTCTGGAAATTTCAAAACCACATTTCACAGGTTTTCTTGCCACTAAGATGACTCAGACCACTGAGCTTCTGTCAAACAGGCAGATCCACCAACAAGCTGGTAAATAGCAGGAGATGGACGCCGCACACGGCTGCCTCTCCTTGCAGGCATGAGGGTGAAGGGGCCTTCAGTGGAGCCCGTGGGGATGGGGGTCCTAGTCCCAGCCAGGCAGTGGCCACCGCAGCATGTGTTTCCATGACAACACTGGACACCGGCATTTCTCTCGTCTCTTTTGGTTCTAGCTGAGTAGTATTCAAGCCATGTTTTCTAGCTGTTTAGATTTCCTGACCTATCTAATATTTGTATTCATTCATTCCACAAATATCTGCAATGTACCTACTATGTTCTCGGCAGGTTTGAGGAGCTTGAAATACATCAGTGGATACAATAGATGAAGATCCTTTGCCTTCAGGGGCTTGTATTACAGCCAGTGAAGACAAATGTAAATATGCAATGTAATGAATGCGTGCAATGGTATGGGAGAAGGTGGTAAGCACTCTGGAAAAACAAAAAGTAGAGCCGGACAGGAGGGGTCAAGTGTGGCAGAGGAGGTGGCAGGGCTGCGATTTTAAGTAGGGTCCTTGGGTTGTCTTCACAGCACCATGAAATTAAAAGATTTCCTGGAGCGAGAGTTCCCACATTGATGTCCCAGGGGTGGGTGAGAGGAGAGCCATGGGTGCAGCCCCGCAGGCCAGGTGCCCTGGGTCTGACCAGGAGAAAAACCAGGGTGAACCTCGCCGTGAGGCCGCCGCCCTCTTTACGCAGACAACACGGTTTTCCTGACTCTGTCCTGACATTGGCCCAGCCTTCATCGTGTCCCCTTTGGAAGTCTCCCCTCCACAGCTAACCTCCCACACTTAGCCATCCTCATCAGGCTGTGCTGGACCCTTGAAATACTCCACAGTGGACTGCTTTGTTCAGCGCAAGGCAGTGGGTGTCGTTGGGCAGTGGACAGTCTTATTCACCTTTTCGCCTTCAGCTTCTAGCGGGAATATATTCGGCTTTCAGAAATGATTGTGAAGAAACAAATGAGCAGATCTGTGAATACATTATCACCTCTATTTTCCTCCTCTAGGTCAATTAGGAGTTATGGCCTATGGTGTGTATATGGCAGGTAAACTCGTTCTTCTACTTAGATGTCCCATCTATGTTGCTCTTTGTTTAGTATTGCAAAAGCATAAGTTCCCTTAAATAATAAAATAAACATGACTTAAATGGTTTGAGCTAGTGGCCACACGTAATGAGCTGGACCTTTCTTGGGCTTCAGCCGCTCCCTGAGATCCCATTAAGTACTTTGGGTTGACTTGCACACTGCCAGGGTGGCTCATTAGTGAGTTACTGCCTCAGTACCTATGCCCTTTTAATGTCTCCTTGGGCCCAGAAGAGCCTCATGTAATATTAAAATATAGTTCAATACATACTCACCTTCTTCTGGGTTTTCACTTCAGAGATTTGGGTCAAGATAGCAAACACCTTCATATATCAAAATAAAGAAATACATGTACGTAAGTAATTTTGTAGCACTTACATATTAAGGTTGCTATGTGTGTGGACACAGGAACAATTCTGAAGAAGCCAGGAGAACGCCACAGTGATGACGAGGACTCCTCTCGAACACAGAGCACTCCCACTCCATAGGACTCGCTGGGCTTTCCAAACTTAGCAACCCAGTTTACCAGGCTCAGTAGGACAGGACAGTTCACTACCCACTGATGCATGTTATTTGGGGGAAGATTTAGTGAAAATTTGAAGAATTCAAGCTCAGAGTCTCAAATGTATATGTACACAATGCTCATCACTCACACAACTGAAAACTGTCTCCACTTTTACACCAAATACCCTCATGATGGGATTTGCACACATCAGCATCGACATAGATTTAATCAGTGATTAGGCCTATTCATAGGAAATAGAGACTTGGACTTGTTATTTTAAAAACCTTTAAAAGGAAGAAGAGCCGGGTGTGGTGGCTCACGCCTGTAATCCTATCACCTTGGGAGGCAGAGGTGGGCAAATCACCTGAGACCAGCCTGGCCAACATGGTGAAACCCTGGCTCTACTAAAAATACAAAAATTAACCAGGTATGGTGGCAGGCACTTGTAATTCCAGCTACTCAGGAGTCTGAGGCAAGAGAATTGCTTGAACCCAGAAGGCGGAGGTTGCAGCGACCCAAGAGTGCACCACTGCACTCCAGCCTGGGTGACAGAGCAAGACTCAGTCTCAAATAAATAAATCAACAAAAAGAGAAAGATACTAGATTTTTCCATGTACTAGGGTTAATTTGGCGGCTATGTGTTACATTAACATACCTTACAATAATTACATGCATTACATTACATTTTTGTCCAAACAGTATTATGAGAATATGTTTTACATGTCTATGTGTCCTGGTAGGTTAAATTCCCCTTTCTTGCTCTTCTTTTTTAAAATTCACAGTTGCACTTGGCTATTCTCACTCACTTATTTTCAAGGTATATTTGTAAGTGAATTTATAAAGATTCCAGAGGAAATTCATTTAGATCTTGTTTAAAATTACATATGACATAATATAGACAAAAATTATACCTTTATTGATATGGTTTGGCTGTGTCCCCACCTAAATCTCATCTTGAATTCCCACGTTTTGTGGGAGGGACCTGCTGGGAGGTAACTGAATCATGGGGACAAGTCTTTCCCATGCTGTTCTCATGATACTGATTAAGTCTCATGAGATCTGACAGTTTTATAAAGAGGAGTTTCCCTGTACAATCTCTCTCTCTCTTTGCCTGCTGCCATCCATGTAAGACATGACTTGCTCCTCCTTGCCTCCCTCCATGATTGTGAGGCTTTCCCATCCACGTGGAACTGTAAGTCCATTAAACCTCTTTCTCTTGTAAATTGCCCAGTCTCGGGTATGTCTTTATCAGCAGCATGAAAACAGACTAATACATTTATAATATTCAATTTCCATCCAGAAATTTATCTCTCATTTACTCAATTAAAAATCCTCTGTCAATTTTGAATGTCCTTTACCTAGTTCTCTTCTCTCTCTTGTTGAATTATGCATGCTGATAGGAAAGCTATCAGCCCAGAGGGAAAAGCAAGTGTTTTGTGTTCTGTATCATCACTACTTTAGGCAACATGATTGCTCAATATAGATTATTTTCCCAAATGTCAGAATGATGATTTATAAAGAAATATTCTATGTGTGTGGTGCCACCTCATTATCCAGCAGACGTTGTAGGAGAAAGTCTTTTTAAATTTCACAGACTAGGTATTATCACAATACAGTCAATAAAAACAGCATGATAATTACCAGATGAGATGACTACATAGTAAAAATGTTATTTGAAACTAAAATTCAATAATATAAAGAACAAAGATTTTCTAGGGCCATTTCGTATCTTATCATTCTTAAGAATGAATAAATAGAGAAAAGTGGCAGTAGAGAGTCATGCTTTTTAGAAAATAAAAATGCAGAGAATAAAAATGCTGCCCTTGCCAAAAATGTCTTCATTCCTTCAACTTTTCATGAATTAAAGAATCATTGCATTTCTTCCCTCATTATGCACCCAAATTAAACGTGGAGATAAACCTTTTAGGGAAAAGTGATCATCTAGAAATGAACTTGATATTTCCAGTAGAAATATGTGGTTTTATTTTTTTAATATTTTAAATTACAGGGAATTTTAATTGTCAACATTTTAGAAGCTCCAGCCTCACAGTCATCACCAGATATACTAACACCAGCCAATGACACGCCAAGTACTTCACTAAATCTGACCCTCCCTGCCTTCATGGAAATGCACACTTAGAATTACAGGTTTGTATTTGTGGTTCCTGGCTTTCTTTTTTTTTCCACTACTTTTTATATTAGAAAAGTCATTTTTTTTCCTAGACTGTGTTACTAAAAAGTTCAGATAAAGATAATCTGTAAAACATACCGCGATTTTATGTTCTTTTTTTTTTTTTTTTTTTGAGATGGGGTCTTGCTCTGTAGCCCAGACTGGAGTGCAGTGGTGTGATATCAGCTCACTGCAACCTCCACCTCCCAGGTTCAAGTGATTCTCCTGCCTCAGCCTCCAAAGTAGCTAGGATTACAGGCATGCACCACCACACCCAACTAAGTTTTGTATTTTTAGTAGAGACAAGGTTTCACCATGTTGGCCAGGCTGGTCTCGAACTCCTGATCTCAGGTGATCCACTGGCCTTGGCCTCCCAGAGTGCTGAGATTACAGGTCTTGAACTCCTGATCTCAGGTGATCCACTGGCCTTGGCTTCCCAGAGTGCTGGGATTACAGGCGTGAGCCACCACACCCAGCCAATTTTATGTTCTATGAGGTGTAAAATTATTCATTATTGTTTGGTTTCACACACAAAGTATCCCAGCCAACAGTGTGAGGATTTTATGGCCCAGTTAAGAATGTTAAGAATTGGATGATACAGATTCTAAAGATAATTCATTTCACTCTAATACGTATTTGTCAAAGAAGCTTTTACATCATTACATTTTTTTACATCTAGTTTAGGAAAGAGAAATTGCACATATCAGCCAGCCTCACCTATTCCCTACTCACAGAACTTGACTGTGGACCAGAGAGAGAGAGAGAATAAGAATGGGGAAACCACAGTAGCAAATCATCTTTAAGAAACATTTACCAAATTATCCATCTCTGTTTAAAAATTAGAATAGCTGAGATATAGTGAAAGCTTGCAATGTGCCAGATACTAAGCCCATTGGCTTGATGATCTCATCCAATTCTCACAGCAACTTGACCAGCTAGGTGCTGTTAGTGCAAGTATTTTTCAGACGAGAACACAGGTCTTGCAGAGGATGGCTGGGAAGCAGAGCAGGTTACGGGGCTGTCATTGCAGAGCCAGCATCTGTACCTGGCTACAAGACTCAGCCACACTCCAGCCCATAGTCGTAAGTTTTAAAAGCACCTCCAAAATCCTTTGCCACTCAGTCCATCATGAGGTGAAGCTTTGTCCCCTCACATTGATGGCCAGACACACGGGGCGCAGCAGAAGTGACTCGGGGCCTGTTGCTTTGGGAAATAGGGGTTTTCACCTCCTACTTCTAGAGTCATTTGCTGTTGAGATCCAGCCTCCATTCTGGGAGCCAGCTTGGGCTGCCTGCCTGTGTCTGAGCCATCTTGGAAGTGAACCCCTTCGAACCCAGCACCCTTGCTTGTGCCATGGAGCACACACAAGCTGCCATTTCTATCCCTGACCCAATGGCAGATTCCCGAGGAAATCAAATGAGTGGTGACTTCCAGCCACTAAGTTACCGTAGCAGTTAACTGATACACAACCGTTAGACTGTTCCTAAAGCTGTGTTTAAAATAAAACTTTAAGCTGGTAGCGCTATAGAAATAACTGTTGACACGCCCCTGTTTTAGAACCAATGTCACTAGGCCATCTTATTTGCTATTCTTTTTTTTTCTGGAAACGTCATTAATAAGAAGCCACAGAACTCCGTGCTTCTCCCCTTGTCAGGACATCTCTTGTGGGAACTCAAGCCAATGTGCACGTAAGGCTCTCTCTCTAAACTAGGATGGTGAGGGTTTCATGTCTTGGGGATGTTGCCTTGCTCTTCCTGGGATGTTTCTGATGCAGCCACGGATGCACAGGGGTGCCCGGAATTCACAACTGAGGAGCACAATCCCAGTGAGACAGCAGGAGCTTTGCCGCAGTGGCATGGAGGTGACACTGGGAGGAGACACACACTGACCCTGGGCCCACGGCCCCTGTTAACAGCCTGGCCCCACCACAGGACACAACAGTCTGTCCCAGGCTGGTGATGCCAGTGACGCCCCAAAGCGCCTTGGTAGGAGGGACTGTGGACACAGCCTGCCCATCCAGCAACTGTGCCGGCTGTTGCTCCATGCACCTGCCCGCCCCCTGCTCGCCCTGCCTCTTTGAACACCTGTTCCCACTGTGGCCTTTCAAAGGCGTCCCTCTCTGCAGTCTTCATTCCAGAGTTATGTGAGTCTCCCCAGGCTGTCCGTCCTGTCAGGGGTCCCCCCGCCGTGCCCCACTTGTCTGATGACCTGCTCTGACACTCTTCTAAGCATGTTTTTGGCTTTAACATCTCTTTGGGCACCACATGTACAAGACAATAAGACCAAACTACAAGACCAAACTCAAATGCTGTGAGGAGGCAGCTGGGGAGCACCTGTAGGAGAAATAACTCGGTATCAGAGAGTGGGGAGTGGTAAGGCTTTGGTAGTTTGTTTATAATCAGAATTATTCAAGTTTATTATAACATCATCTAATAAAGCAAGTCTGGAGAAACTGATGTGGGGCAAAGAGCCTCATTTTGACCCATTCAGAGTTCCTGAAACTTTGGCTTAAATCCATCCAACAAGAGTGGCACCCCAGTTTTGAAGTCATCACAATGAGGAAAGATGGGGCTCTAACCTACAGAATTACCCACTCCATGTGGGCACAAACCAGAGGAAGCTTCCACACCTCGGCCTACCTCACGGCAGAGCATCTTTAAAATAAATGTCTTAATTCATAATAATGCTGGCATACTAATGTGGAAATTATGATTAAAATCATTCAAAGAACCAATCAGTCACCAAGCAAGCACACACAGACATGTAGATGTCTATTACCTTGGGGTTATGTCACCAGTCTTTTACAAACAACTCTCTCTCTCTCTCACACACACACACACACACACACACACACACACACACACACACACCGCTTGCTAGAGTCTGCACCTTTTTCAAGTCGTCCCAAGAGAACAATGGGACTCATGCTCTTGACTGATTTGGGGGTGAACCAAGGAGAGAAGAAGCCTGCTTCATTAGCTAAAACCAAAAGAAGGGAGGGTACTATTTATACAATCAGCTCAGAAAATACCTCTGCCACCCCTCCATCAGTGATGTTTACTTCACCTGATTATTTTGGTTCGTTACCATGGTCTGGCTGGACTATAAACAACATAGTTATTTCTCACGGTTCTGGGGGAACCAAACTGCTGGGAAGTCCAAACTTTAGGCTCTTGGCAAACTTGGCGTCTAGTGAGAGTTTGGCCCCCCAGTTCACAGACAGTGACTGCTCACTGTGTACCCGCAAGGCGGAAGGGGTGAGGCAGCCATCTGGGGCCTGATGATATGGGCACTAATCCCAATAGGGGGCTCTGTCCCCATGGTCGAATCACCTCTTAAATGGGGATTAAGATTTCAGCATGTGAATTTGGAGGGGAATGGGGCACAAACGTTGTCTATTGCACCGTTTTTATTCATTTAAAAATGTTGAAAGAGGATTAAAAATAAGAATAAAAAACTCTCAGCCTAGAACATGCTATTTGCCAATGAGATTTTCTTTTTATTTTATTTTTAAAGATCAACACCACTTACTTTCCCAAGCTTATTTTGAAAGTTGACTTAACAGAAATAATAAGAGGCTTAAAATTTACAATTTCCTTTACCTAGAAATTCCATAAACAATCTAAAAGGCAAACAGAAAATTTGAGGAAAGTTTCCAACATATATGATAGGAAAAAGTTAACATTCTTAGACTATAAATGACTGACATTATTTGAAAAGGCACACACTTCAATAGCATAATGGGCAAAGAATATAAACAAGTAATTTAGAAAAAAAACCGTATGGCCATAAAAAAAGAAAAAATATATATATGTATATATATATATATATATGAAATTATTTAGCCTCAATAGCATTCAAAGAACTATAACATACCAGATACTATTTTCACCCATCAAAAGTCAAATATTAAAAATAAGTTATAGTATCCAATGTTGTCCCACATATGAGGAAGTAAACAGCCTCCTACACTATTGGTGGAAAACAAATTAATACAACCTTTTTGTAAACTAATTTGCTTATTCCTATTAAAAACCTTTAAAATAAGTACATCCTTTTGTCCAATAAGTTTACTTGGAAAGATTTATTATAATAATTATAGCTATACTCAAAGATTTAACTTAAATATGTTCATTGTTTATATCTGATCAAATATTTGTACAATCTGGTGACCAGAATAATACATAGTATAACCCCATTTTTGTGGAAACAAATATTTATATGTACAGTTGACCCTTGAACAACATGGGTTTGAACTACTCTAGTCCACTTGTGTGTGGATTTTCCAATGAATATATTGAAAACTTTTTTGGAGATTGTAACAATTTGAAAAACCTTACAGATGAGCTGCTTAGCCTAGAAATCCTGAAAAAATTAAGAAAAAGGTATGCCATGAATACATAAACTATATGTAGATACTAGTCTTATTTATATGTTAATCAGCTGTTCATGCTATCAGTAAGGCTTCCTGTCAGGAGTCAGCTATCAGTAGTTAAATTTTAGGGGAGTCAAAAGTCATATGTGAATTGTATTCGTCCGTTTTCACCCTGCTGATAAAGACATACTTGAGACTGGGAAGAAAAAGAGGTTTAATTGGACTTACAGTTTCATGTGGCTGGGGAGGCCTCAGAATCACAACGGGAGGTGAAAGGCACTTCTTACTTGGTGCTGGCAAGAGAAGATGAGAGAGAAGCAAAAGCAGAAACCCCTGATAAGCCCATCAGATCTCATGAGACTTATTCACTATCATGAGGACAGTATGGGGGAAACCACCCCAATGATTTAAATTATGTCCCACCAGGATACAATTCAAAATGAGATTTCGGTGGGGACACAGCCAAACCCTACATGAATATTTAACTGTGCGAGAGGTCAGTGCCTATAACGCTTGCATTGTTCAAGGGTCAACTGTATATAATATATAGTTAAAAAAATACATAAAAGTATACACAGCAAAGAGGTTACTCTGGAGTGGCAGAATTTTATATTATTTTAATTTTTTCTCTGTTAATCTATGTGGACTATTTTTCCTTTAATAATCATGTGCTATGCCCTTAGATGTATTTATTATGTGAAAAAAGATAGTTATTCCTTTATTACTAAAAATAAATGCTTCTAGAATAAATAAGTAAAAGTAATATAATTATTTGGTACAGATTTTTAATAAAATGGTGTTAAAGAATAAAAATTCTTACATATGCAAGGAAGAATCAGAATGTGTATAACAAAAAAGCAATAGTCTTCATGTGTGATTATGAATTGTGAGATGTTTATTTTCTTCTTGTTCTCATCCACACTGTCTAATTTCTCTGTAAGAATGTTGATTACTTTCTAAGAAAACATAGTTTAATTGGCACCTTGGGGTTGTGGTGAAACAGGCATCCTGATGCCAGTATAATTGGCTACAGCCTTTCTTAAAAACAATTTTCAAATTCCTTTCACTATCCTTAAAAGATGACAGTGTTTTACATAGTGATTCCATTCCTGTTGATCTATCTTAAGGATATAATCAGAATATTGACTCAAGACTGTTGTTTTTCCAGAATTCTTTCAAATTGAAAAAAAAAATTTAAAAAGAAAAGAATATCTAAATAAATAAAGTATATCAATATAATGAACTATTGTGCAATCATTAGAATGATTTCTAAGTGTTTTTTACATAGTAACTTGTTATTGAACATTTAGTTTGAGTCATACGTTATATCAAAAGTTTCACCATGCATGAGTTCATTTGATTCTCTCAACAAACCTGTGAATTAATATTGTGACCATGATTAGTCACATGAGAAAACTGAGGATAAGAGAAAACTATAAGACTCTTATGTGACAAAATGTCTAAACAGAGTAACTATTTGAATCCAGCCCCTATGGATTTTGCTACTACTATCTGGAAATGATAAAGCAAAATCAGACACTACCAGTGATTTAATGCTAAGAGGAAAAAAAGTCATCACCTAAATTGTATCCTATTAAAATAGACATATAGGCATAGGAAGAAATAGAGCAAAACATTCATAGACACAATATGGGCATGGCAAGTTTTCAAATAATTTTTATTTTTTTAAAATTTTGTTCCTTTCTGTGTTTCTCAAATGTACTACAATGCACATGTATTATAAGAAGAAAAAAATAGACCGGGCACGGTGGCTCATGCCTGTAATCCCAGCACTTTGGGAGGCCGAGGTGGGCAGATCACGAGGTCAGGAGATGGAGACCATCCTGGCTAACACGGTGAAACCCTGCCTCTACTAAAAATACAAAAAATTAGCCGGGCGTGGCGGCGGATGCCTGTAGTCCCAGCTCCTCGGGAGGCTGAGGCAGGAGAATGGAGTGAACCCGGGAGGCAGAGCTTGCAGTGAGCCTAGATCGTGCCACTGCACTCCAACCTGGGTGACAGAGCAAGACTCCATCTCAAAGAAAAAAAAAAAAAAAGAAGAAGAAAAAAATAAGGTAGCTGTAAGTAACCAAAAAAATACATTTTCAAACGGGGGTTATTCTCATGTTTGGCATGTGTCATATAAACACTAAACAGTGCTAGAATAATGGGTAACTTGACTTTATACACACTGTGCTTTATCATAATTCTGCAGAAAATGATACAAAATATATCACTTGACTTAGAATATGAAGGTCAATATATTTTGTAATTAGGTATTTGACAAATGCTTTCCTGTAAGAGCTCCTCGCTTTATAAATATGGACTCACTGATATCGATGATAAAATAAATATCAAAGTTTGTCATCCACAGGGGAAGGATGTTGAGATAAGATTTTCGTTTCACCCTTTACCCACTCATATGGTATGAGAGGAACCCCAGCAGAGCAGGAAGTTCAGGTAACATTACTCAGCATTACTCAGTCTCTTCTGAGCTGTTTCTTTCTCACTTGCTGTCTTACATCCTTCAGATATTACTTTTTACAAGACTTCAAACACTAATAAAATGATACACATTAGTAAAAGAGAAAAATCCATTATATAACCCTTCAGAATAGACTAAAGGAGCAGAGTCCATAAAAGCTGAATCATCCCATTGTGTAGGTCCCTACCAAAAACACTTGACTTATCAGCTGAGCCAGGAAACCTCATCTTCAGTACACATGAGATATCAGTAGCTGTTTCACAGGTTGGTCATCAAGGGAGGCATTTAGGTAAAGATTCGCATTCTGACTTTATCACTCACTAACTGGAGAATTGCAGCAAGTTACTCAAGCCCTTAATACCTCTGTTTTCTCAGTATTAGGAATGCAGAGTAATGTCTATTACATAGGGCAGTTGTGAAATTTGGGCAAGAGAGTGTGTGTTAAATCCAGAGGCTGACACATAATTAAGTATTCAACTCAGTCAGCGAATGTGTTTACTAAGTGCCAAGTCACCCACTGAAATCAAACCTGTCCGTGGTGCCACAGATACAGCTGTAAGAATGCAGCCAAAACCCTGTCCTCCGCCAGCTCATATTTTAGTGATCCTTATTGTACAGGTCTTGAATTTGACCAATCAGCAGACATAGTGGTTTTTGTTATAATAAAATCTAGATTAAACATATTTATTGGATAATTTTTAAATCTTCAGAAAAAGATTCACAAAATAATATTTTATATTGCAATGTATATTTTTACTTGATTGGTAAAATTAAGATCTTTAATCCACTTTTCTTTCTTTTTTTTTTTTTTTTGAGATGGAGTCTCACTCTGTTGCCCCAGGTGCCCCAGGCTGGACTGCAGTGGCACGACCTCGGCTCACTGCAAGCTCCACCTCCCCGGTTCAGGTCATTCTCCTGCCTCAGCCTCCCGAGTAGCTGGGACTATAGGCACCCAACAACACACCTAGCTAATTTTTTGTATTTTTAGTAGAAACAGGGTTTCCCCGTGTCAGTCAGGTTGGTCTCGATCTCCTGACCTTGCGATCTGCCCACGTCGGCCTCCCAAAGTGCTGGGATTACAGGTGTGAGCCACTGTGCCCGGCTAATCCACTTTTCAGAAAGACTTTTTTGATAGTTAATTTTATGTCAACTTGACTGGGCAAAGGGATGCCCAGATAGCTGGTAAAAGTCCATTCCCAGGTGTGTTTTTGGAAGAGATTTGCATTTCATTTGACTTGATGGGATTGATTTTTGAATTGGTGAATGGAGGTAAAGAAGACCCACCCTCGCCAATGTGGGCATAATCCAGTTCTTTTGTAACCTCCCAGCGGGTTCACCTTGTTCGCTGCTTAGACAGAACCGATTTATCAAGACAGGGGAAATGCAATGGAGAAAGAGTAGTTCACACAGAGCCAGCTGTGTGGAAGCTGGAGTTTTATTATTACTCAAATCAGTCTCCCCGAACATTTGGAGATCAGAGTTTTTGAAGATAATTTGGTGGGTGGGGAGGGGCAGTGAGTTGGGGAGTGCTGATTGGTTGGGTTGGAGATGAAATCATGGAGCATCACTGTCTTCTTGGGCTGAGTTAGCTCCTGGGTGGGGGTCACAAGATCAGATGGGCCAGTTTATCCATCTGTGTGGTGCCAGCTGCTTCATCAAGTGCAGGGTCTACAAAACATCTCAAGCACGGATTTTAGAAGCAGTTTAAAGAGGTTCAGAATCTCGTAGCCTCCAGCTGCATGACTCCTAAACCGTAATTACTAATCTTGTGGCTAATGTTAGTAGCCTAGTTCCCAGGCAAGAAGGAGGTTTGTTTTGGGAAAGGGCTGTTATTGTCTTTGTTTTAAACTGTAAACTATGAACTAAGTTTCTCCCAAAGTTAGTTCAGCCTATGACAAGAATGAACAAGGACAGCTTGGAGGTTAGAGGCAAGATGAAATTGGTTAAGTTGGATCTTTTTCACTGTCTCAGTCATAATTTTGCAAAGGCAGTTTCACTTTCAGAGCCCAAACAGTACAAAAAATGTAGCGGAAGGGTGAATTTTCTTTCTGTGTTGTAGCCAGGACATCCATCTTCTCCTGCCCTCACGTTGGGAGCTTCTGGTTCTTAGGTCTTCAGATTTGAACTTGGGACTTGGGACTGAGCCACACCACCAGCATTCCTGGCTCTGCAGCTTGCAGACAGCAGATTGTGAGACTTCTAGGTCCTCATAATCTCAGCAGCCACTTCCGTTAATCTCTATATATACATATACATATACATGTGTGTGTTCATGTATGTGTGTGTGTGTAGTCCATGTATGTGTGCGTGTGTGTATAGTAACACTTTTGTTACTCCATTTAACCTTGATTACATAACATTCACAAGCAAGTGTTTAAATACAATTCTTTTTTAATTTGAATTGTTTGGTATTTTGTGGGCCTTTTGGTTTAAAGGCTCATATTATTTAGCTTTAAACAATATTCTTGTTTCATTTATTTTATAATTTCTGTTTTTCCAAGTTTATTTTGCTCTAACTCCTGCTATTTTTTTGCCTTCAAGTTTCATATATACATTTTTTGTCATATATATGCATGTGTGTGTGTGTGTCCTTGAAGACAAGAAATATATACATATGGACCTTGAAGACAAGGACTACACACACACACACACACACATGCACACACACATGCACACATGCATGCACATTTTATGTATTTGCATCTATACATGCATAGAGAGCATATATATGTATATGTGTATATATACGTGTGTGTGTATATATGTGTGTGTTTATATGCGTGTGTGTGTCCTTGAAGACAAGCAATGCAGTTGTTGTTTACATGTCCTGTGCCTATCACAATGCATGGGATATGATATGCTTTCAGTAAAGCTTGCTGAACAAATGCATGAATGAATGGGTTAGCAAAAATATTTTAACCTGCCTAAAAGAAACCATAAAATTTATAATTTTTTAAAGCAAGACTGTCATGTATATATCAACAGATAAATGAAAATTTGTTAGAGAAAAAAGAAAAAGCCCAGAATGAGAATATTATGTTCTCTTTATCCAAACTAACTCCTGTAGATGTGAAACTTGGAGAGAAAATAAACAGGATCATTTGCTTAGGATTTCTCTTCTAAGAGCTCTAAATATTGGAAACACACTGAGTAGCAATATTGCATCCAAATCTGTTGGTTAACAAATTAAAAATGTATAAAATAACAAACATCTTCCTTAGGGTAGGCCCATAAAAAATAGATTTACTAAATGAAAGAAGTAGTGTTTCAAAATAATTTCTATCACTAATTTGAAGGTTTTGCTTTATTGCATTTTTTGTTCAATACTGCTAAAGCAATTCTTATCATTTTTTCAGTGATTCTCAATTTTGAACACTTTTGTTACTCTGATTTAACCTTCATTATGTAACATTCCCAATCAAGTGTTCAAATGCAATTCTTTTTTTTTTTTTTTTTTGAGATGGAGTTTTGCTCTGTCGCCCAGGCTGGAGTGCAGTGGCACGATCTCGGCTCACTGCAAGCTCCGCCTCCTGGGTTCATGCCATTCTCCTGCCTCAGCCTCCCGAGTAGCTGGGACTACAGGTGCCCACCACCACGCCCAGCTAATTTTTTGTATTTGTTTTGTTTTGTTTTGTTTTTTTAGTAGAGACAGGGTTTCACTGTGTTAGCCAGGGTGGTCTCGATATCCTGACCTCATGATCTGCCCACCTCGGCCTCCCAAAATGCTGAGATTACAGGTGTGAGCCACCACACCCGGCTGCAATTCTTTTTTTAATTTGAATTGTTTGGTATTTTATGAGCCTTTTAGTTTAAAGGCTTATATTCTTTAGCTTTGAACAATATTCTTGATTTATTTCTTTTATAATTTCTGTTTTTCCAAGTTTCTTTTGCTGTAACTCCTGTTGTGTGTTTTTTTTTTTAATTAAGCTTTCCTGGAATCGTTATCTATATATTTTACTTTTCCCTATTTTTTCTGTATCTTTGTATTTTTCTCAATTAACTACTAGAATAATGTAAGTTAGTATTTGACATTTTGAAATCTTACCATCGATATCAGAGTCACAATTTATGGGGAAAGAAAGAAGGTTAAAACAAAGACAGCGCCTAGCATAATCTCTTTCGCAATAGTGCTGATTAGATTAACTACGTACTAAGTAGAGCAATAAAGTAGCTGCAGTGAATAGTGAGGAAGGACAAGCATCCCATTCAAGCAGCATCAGGAAACCTTTATCTGGCGCTCACCAGCTCTGTGCCCCACGCTGCTGATAGGTGATCAGCATGGCTTTGTCCTTGACCTTGAGGACTGAAAGCTTAATATTTCCTTTTCCTGCCTTCCTTTGCCATATTAAAACAATTCCAAACTGGTTTTGGTGGTGCATACCTGTAATCCCAACTACTCAGAAGGCTGAGGTGGGAGGATCCCTTGAGCGCTGGAGTTCAAGGCTCCAATGAGCTCCAATGGTACCACTGCACTCAGGCCAGGGCCACAGAGCAAACTCTATTTCTAAAGTAAACAAGGACTCATGCGGTGCCTCACACCTGTAATCCCAGCACTTTGGGAGGCCAAGGCAAGTGGATCACCTGAGGTCAGGAGTTCGAGACCACTCTGGCCAACATGGTGAAACCCCCATCTCTACTAAAAATTCAAAAATTAGCCAGGAGTGGAGGCACACACCTGTGGTCCCAGCTACTCGGAAGGCTGAGGCAGGAGAATTGGTTGAACCCGGGAGGTGGAGGTTGCAGTGAGCCAAGATGGTACCATTACACTCCAGCCTGGGCAACAGAGCGAGACTCCACCTCAAAAAATAAAAAAATAAAGTAAACAAATACATAAATAAAAATTTAGAAATAAAGCAATCTCAGTCTTTGAATAAAGCTTCTCATTATATTATGATATAAAAATATTAAATTTTACTCCTAAAAATCTTACAATCACTATCCCTCTTTATTTTCCATTGGACCATACCAGCCAGTCAGAATATTCTCGCACTCTCTAATCCACACTCATCCACAAAAACACACATGCATTCAATATTCACATGCCCAAAAGCTATCTCCACCCATTGTTCAATTTATATAAAGTCACTATTCTATTTCCAATAGTCATCCATCCACTCATTCGAACCAAGGTTCTCAGTTAACTGTAATTCCATGAGCTGCAAAGTTCTTCACCTTTGAAGATGTCACATTGTTTTCTAGAATTTCTCCTTCCTCCTAACAGTCTTGTCACCATACGCATCTTGCTCCAGCTGCCTTCTGGAGCAGGTGATGGGATGAGAGAGGAAGAAGAATCCCTCCTCCCATCTCTCAGAAGTGCAGCTTCTGCCAATCACCATGAAACAGCAGGAACACTGGGCTGAAAACAAGCACTGAAGGAACCAAAGAGTAAATAAATATCAGCACAGACGCAGACCTTGATATCCAGCTCATCAAAGCGTGCTGCACCCTCCCAAAAAACAGTCCCTTACTTGAAAGAGCGTTAGAATTAGAGAGGAGCCTGTGACGCTTGGCAACACCACAGCTGCTCTCAGCAGGGTGCCACAGCACAAAAGGGTCTCAGGAAATTGTCACAAGTGAAGGAAACACAAATGTAAAATTGATGAGGAAAATACCTGCCTTAAAATGATAATGGCAATTGGAAGTATTCCAGATGGCGTCAATGTGGAAATGATCCAGTAAATGAGATTACAGCCGGGTAGTAGCATGCCAGGTCAATCTTAAAAGTTGTTGTGTATAGCGATGTTTATTAATTTGAAAAGATATTCATATATTTTATGAGAAAGAGTCAGGTTTCAAACAATATGTAAGATAGGGTTCTGATGTAAAGACATAAGGAAAAGGAGAGAGCGAACGAGAAATTGACAGGATCTGTAACTATGTGTAATGCTGGATGGTGAATTGTTTTCTTTCTTCCTCTTTGTTCTTTGTTCCTACAGTCTAATATTTATAGTAAGTGTATATTTTACAACTAGACAAAAACTTTTTTTTTTTTGAGATGGAGTCTCGCTCTGTTGCCCAGGCTGGAGTGCAGATGGCACGATCTTGGCTCACTGCAACCTCTGCCTCCCGGGTTCAAGAGATTCTCATGCCTCAGCCTCCCGACTTGCTGGGATTACAGGTACATGCCACCGCACTCGGCTAATTTTGGTATAGACTGAAACATTTTTAAATGTATAAATTTCACACTGCAGTGCAATACAAGGCAGAGAAGCACTTCGGTGCAGTGGGAACTCCGCGTGGGGGCCACATCCCCGGGTTTCACCTCCAGTTCTGCTGCCAAGACATTTAAGAAAGTCATTTAACCATTAGAGCTCATTTCTCCACCTTAAACATGAAGACGCTAAGTCCACTTATGGCTATAAAATCTGGAGTAATCGATTTCTTAAACCCATATATCTACCCACCCTAAACACACTGTTCTTACACACATTGCCAAACTCTCCGGCTCATCGTCACACAGCAAAGCCAAAGACCTCAAACTTTTCTGCCAGGTGACAGCCCTGCTGGAGGCTTCTGGTCACCTTGCACATTCCCGTGTGTCCTCTGGACAGAACACCACGCAAGCCTACACGCCCCACAATCCAGGGGAGGCTGAATTAGCAGCTGTGCAACACCACTAATGTGGAGCCTTTCCAGCTTCATTGAGTTTGACTTAAAATAAATGGAGACTTGTGTGTGTTGGGTGAGGGTGGTGGTGCGTATCCCCATTTTGTTTAATTTGGGAAGGGACTTTTGGTGGCTTTGCCAACCCATGGCAATATTTGCAGTAAAAATTCACAGCTGATTCTCTCCCTTCTGGTCTGTGGAGTCTCCTTGGGAACCACTGATATGAATCCAGCCCCTGTCTACAGAGGTGGAGGATCAGGGGGCGTCTGCAGGAGCATGTGGCCAGGCATGGGTGCACCTAGATGCGGTGAGCAGGGGTACTGGAGAACAGGGTCCCTGACAGAGGGATGCAGGTCGTGGAGGACATCGGCCAGGGACCCTGGAGCGCCATAAAGCTGCTGGGGCTGAGGCAGGATGAAGTCGGCACACGCGATGTTCTCTGTTTCTCAAACTGGGGGACGGCGGGATGAAAGCGGCACCCAGGAAGGCTCAGCCTGGCACGAGTGTGCGAGCTGAACGGAATGTGGACGGTGTTGGCCCAGGACGCAGCTCAGAGGCTGCTGCAGTAATCCCGGCGTGAATGAGGCTGTAATCCCCACAGAATGATGTGCTGGGCAATGTGGAGCCTGGCTTCATTTCCAGCTCTATTTATGGCTCTGAATTACAGGAAAAGTGGGGGAGGGCACTGCTCCTGAAGCTCCGTTTCCTCCTCCCGTGGTCCTAGGTATCTGACCACCTGCAGCCACAGTCCCTGAGCACACTGTGCATGCGGGAAGCCCAAATACACAGATTCTGGAACTTTCCGAAGACACAGAGGGTGGCTCTGTTCTTCCCCTGAAGGCAACTCATCCATGCCACACGTGTCTTTATCACTACCGGAAAGCTCCAATGCGTCCTAACGCCTCCGGTTTGATGGTTGACTCTGTTTCACTCTGAACACCACAGAAGAAGACGGCCGTGCCAAAGATGCACGGGAATGAGAATGTTTGCCAGATAGGAGCACAATTTTCATCAAGCTTGGTTCTTAGGAGTGACACTCACTTTATGACATAAACTCAAATTTCTTTTACACAAAAATCAGGGGCAGTAATAAAAAGGTATTCTATGTGACCGGGAAGCATGGTCAACCGTGAAAACAGAACTTCAAAACAAGAGGCAGAGCCAATCAGGGAACGCTTCCATACAAACAACGTGCACAGCAAGGGCTGAGAAAAATAAGGCCTTTTCCTGGGTATTGTTTTGTGGGACTGCATCACGGTTGCAAAATTCGTGTGCCTCACTGGAAGCACAATGTTCTGCACTTACACCCTAGTAAATATTTTTACAAGATAATACTTCATGATAAAGGTGTTTGGCTCACAAAACCTCTCCCTGTCAACAACTGGAGGTTGACCTGTCACTTGCCCAAAGCTGTACAAACACTGGTGGGGGATATTTGCATCTGTCACTTCTAAAACACCCTCCTTTTTAAATCTAGTATGAAAGACAGTTTCCTCCAAAAAAAAAAAAAAAAAAAAAAAACCAAAAGCTGTTTCTTTTTTTTTCTTTTCTTTTCTTTTTTTTTTTTTTTTTTTTTAATGTTCCTAAGACTGGGGAAATCTGAATCTTTTCCTGAAAGCAGAAGTGACTGGCTGGCATGAATTAATAGGATTCATTGGTGCTGACTCCCCCACCTGCACATTCCTGCCCACAGTCGCGAATCTTGACGATGACATCCATGAGCACAAAGAATTATGCCAGGCAATCCTAGAGAATGGGAGTGTTTAACCTTTTCCTCGCCATCTTGTCTACTTTTATCTCTGCAGAACCCTCTGTGGAAGCGGTGGTCTGACACAAGCATTTCTGGATGACGCTGAACCTGCTTACAACTCCCTGCTGCTGTCAGGCAGAACATTCTCCAAACCGCATGAATTTGGAAGTCTGGACACTTCAGGCATCATCAGGTTTATGGTTTTGTCATAACCCTGCTGAAAGTCCTTTACCATCTCCAGGCCTCCATTTATTTTCTATAAAATAAGGAGTTTGGAATGGCACTGTGTTGATATTCTCCAGTTTTGTGAAACATCGTACTCAACAATCGCGAGCAGGCATTTTACAGACCTTGCTTTCCTAGACCTGCTCAAGTAGAACATTCAGGTCAGTGCTAAGAGTTAATATGCTGCCTCCGTCTGACCTCCACATTATGAAAAAAAATATAAAGGAAAGAGCAAAAGGTAGAGCAAGTAGGTTTCGGGCTTGGTGGAGTAGCTCTGAGTGCTGCCCTGTCCTTGGCTGTGTGTGCCAGGTGAAGCGTCTGTGAAGGTCCCCAGTGGGGTGTGCAGAGCACAAGGGCTGCTTCTGAATGCAGGCACGTGATCTAAGGACACTGTGCATCACCAGTGTGACCCCAGGAGTAGTTTCAGAGCTTTGATAAGACCTAGGCCAGGCTCAGTGGCTCACGCCTGTCATCTCAGCACTTTGGGAGGCCAAGGTGGGTGGATCAGCTGAGGTCAGGAGTTCAAGACCAGCCTGACCAATATGGTGAAATCCTGTCCCTACTAAAAGTACAAAAATTAGTTGGGTGTGGGGGCGAGCGCCTGTAATCCCAGCTACTTGGGAGGCTGAGGCAGGAGAATCATTTGAACCCGGGAGGTGGAGGTTGCAGTGAGCCGAGATCACACCACTACCCTCCAGCCTGGGAGACAGAGCAAGACTCCATCTCAAAAAATAATAATAATAATAATAATAATAATAAGCCCAGGAACATCAGATGTGGGCTGCATTGACGGCCTGCCTCTCTCTACACCACAGGAATCTGGGCTGTAAAGGCAGGATATAAATTCAAGTCCACATGCTATGGAGAAATCAGAGGTTTCGAAAGTATCTCCGTGACTGTTTTTGAAGTCACAGCTAATAATTCACCGTCTGACACTCCGGGGCTTGCCTGGATCTAAAAATAGTTGTTCCCCCGAGCTGGTCGGGGAACTGGCTGAGAAGGGAGGGAGCTGCGTGGAACACATTCTGAACCATCAGGAAACCCAAAGCAAAATCGAATCTTGCCACCTAAGATTTGATTATTAAAAGATGGATTTGACAGCTGATTCCCCATTAATTACATTTGTAAAGATATTTGAAAGACAGGAATGAAATGACAGTGGCCCTGACACAGTCCTTGGGGTTTAAGACGGAGTCTGACATTGTATCTGTCTCCGGTTCTGCAGCAGCTTAGCGACATCAGAGACAATTGAAGCAAAGGGCCCACTTATGGCTGACAGCTGACCCTGCAGCCCAGCTGGGAAGCCCCTGAGACGACCCGGGTCCAGCCATCAGGGAAGGGAACCAGCGTGGCCCCAGGAGGGCTTTAGGCTGAGGCTTCTCCCAGGATGTGGAGGCTCAGCACTTTGCACAAATTGGATTCATGCCAAAGGAAACTGAAAGCCTGCCTTTCTTTTTTTCCCAGTGCACATCTCAGATTATTTGGCCTTTGTCCGAGGACTGAAAACAGTTCTGTGTCCAAGTATGTTTTTAATACCTGATATTTATTTCACAAAAAAGCTGAAATTGCTTTGTGTGTCCAGGCTTGAATGTTTAAGGCATACTTGATTAATACATGTGTGCTGAGCGCTTCCTGGGGCTCCTAGACACTGCCAAAGGTAGCTCAGTGGGGAAATTCAAGGCAATTTTCCCCTTAACTTTTGCTACTTCTGACCATTTTCCACTTATGTTATTATGCTTCTGTATCCATCTGTCTGCCTATGTCTAGCTATCCATCATCTATCAATCAATCACTGTATCTTGCAATGGAGGAATTAACTGTGATGTTTTCAAGCGTGTCGCTTCTCTCATATTCCTATTAACATATTGGAAACGCTCAGCTAAATAGAATAAAGTTTTTAGCCTAAACCTACAGTGAATGTCTAATGCTTTGGGCAAGATATTGAAGGGGTGGGGGAGAGATAATATGAATGCTTTCATAGACACAGCTGGACTTCTTTCCCCCTAAACATGAGTGAGAATTCTTTCTATGCTTCTAGTTGAGATTGTAGATAAATAGAGAAATCACATTTGAACATAGGAAATGGCTTCTGATAAAGAAGGCACATTCCTGTCTCTCTCACACACACATGCACGCATGCACGCACACACGGACCTCCCACCCACCCATCAGAAGCGTATCAGAGGCCTCTGCCTCCCGCCAGGATTCCCGGCTGCAGGACACAGCCCAGCAGGAGAAGCTTTTCCCTCCATTCTTTCAAGGGTGAGTGGACACATAGGCTGGTGTCGCGTGGTTTGCTTGGTCAAGTGAGGTCCAGTTCCTGGAGGTGGGTTTCTTTCAACATCTGAGAACAGTCACATGGCCCATAGTGCAGAGCCTTCAGAGAGGAAAGGCACTGGTTCCAAGCATTTCAGTTTAGTTTCATTCAAATGCAGAAACATGGAAACACAGATTAGACTCGTATGATCAAGTTGTACTCGAGCAAAGAACACAATACCAAATGTTTGATTTCTTAAGAGTGTCCTGAAAGAGTCTCACATACACTCAAAGTTAGTTACCAAGTTCTTTATGAGATCTTTTCTAAGATTATGAATATAATATTTGACTTGTGTAAAGCATCATGTCATTGACTAAAGAAAATATGCATATATATAATATATATATATATACAAAGTTGTATAATATTTAAAATATTTCTGAGTGGTATGGCTTGAAAAGATATTACAGTAACCGATTATCATTGTATGGGAAGATGCTTTATAAAACAAGATTCTTCAATATAGGATATTCTCAGTGGCGTTATTTCTTGACTTCTATTTATCAGTAATAAACTTGGTAGAAAATGTTAAAATAATGTCAGAGGTTATTTAATGGGAAATATGTATGTTTCTTTCCATTATAAGAAACTATATATCTTATAATAGGACATTTTTCTCACCTCACCTAAAAATAACACAGAATGTCTTATTTCATATAAATATTAGTTTTAAAAGGTTTTAGTCATATATCTTGTATCCTATTTAATTTGCGTTCTTTTTACACTTAGAATGAACACAGACCAATTCTAACAAAAACATAATAAACACAGAAGCGACACGTGGGCTAAGTTCAGGTATGAGACATTTGCGCCTTCTGTCCGCAGTGTTCTCAGGAACGTGTCACTGTGGATGCAGACATGGTTTTAATGGGAAAGAGGTAGAAATTTGCCCAGAAAATTGTATGTCATAAGGCATCATCCTGGAGACAAGCCCTTGAACTTGGGCTCTACATTATATAAAGACAATCACTGAAGGTGAAGGAGAAATTGCAGTAGAAGGAGGACAGGTGCTTGGAGAAGTTCCTGTTCTGCCCCAAGGGTGTTGGGGAGGCCAGGAGGAGCTCTGCTTCCTGCAGGGCTGTGTGTTATCAGAGTAGCCCCTGGTGGCCTCAGAATGATCCCCTAGAGAGTGGAAATCGGCATGTACAGTTTGCACAGAGGCAAGCATGCCATATCCCAAGTTTAAATACACCAGTGTGCACCTTTGTATGATGATTCTGACATCATGAATGCAGCAGGTCTCATCGTGATGGGATCTATTTCATAAAAAACATTTTGAGGACTAGAGAGAACCATTTCCTATCACAGTCTTTTTTTTTTTTTAAGACAGAATCTCGCTCTGTTACCCAGGCTGGAGTGAAGTGGCCCAATCTCGGCTTACCACAACCTCTGCCTCCCAGGTTCAAGCGATTCTCCTGCCTCAGCCTCCCAAGTAGCTGAGATTACAGGTGTGTGCCACCATGCCTAGCCAATATTTGTATTTTTAGTACAGACAGGCTGGTCTCGAACTCCTGAGCTTCAGTGATCTGCCTTCCTCGGCCTCCCAAAGTTCTGAGATTTATAGGTGTGAGCCACTGCGCCCGGCCCTCACAGTCAATTTCTTATGAGGATTTTTCTTCTAAATATCCCAAAGAAGCCATGTGGGGCACAGCCCTGGGGTGGTGGGCAAATCAAGAGTCAAACTCTGAATGTTTCCTATCCCAGGGAGAGGGAGAAAAGAATCTAATCCAGAGAGAAATTGGAAGGCTTAGTATAAGAAGTCATGCCAGATTATCAGCTCCTATTTTGGGCCAGGCCTTTGAGGGGCAGCGTCCTGAGCCGTGAGGAGCAGGTGTCAGGCTAGGGCCTGGTGGAGACATCAGGAATCCTTACACAGTTCCAGGGAAGAGGGAAGAAAACCCACTGAGGACTGAGGAGGTTGGTCATGCCAAGTGGAGGTGAGGAGTGGGGCTACAGGAGGCTGATTTCCTGCTGTTCAGCAAGGAAGTCTTGGGTTGTTTGCCACTCACGTATTTTACGTTTCTAACTAAGACACAGGACTTCAGGAATAAGATTGCCCTGGAATGTCTCCATCAGTGGCTCTCTCCTGGGGTTGACTTGGCTTCCCACATCCCACCCGAGCAGGGGACATGTGGCAATGCCTGGAGGTAAGTTTGCTTGTCACAAGTGACAGATATGCACCTACCATCTAGTGGGTGAGGGCCAGGGGTGCTGTTGAACACACTGTGTACAGGACGGTCTCCTACCACAAAGAACTGTTTCCGTCAGAATGTCAACGTGGCTGAGGCTGGGAACACACACTCTAACTCTTTGGAAGGTGCTATGGACTGAATATTTGTGTTCCTTCAAAATTCATGTCGAAATCCTGACCTCTTAAGTATTAGGAGATGCCATCTTTGGGAAGTGATGAGGTCATAAGGATGGAGTCCTTAAGGATGGGATTAGGGCCCTTAGAAAAAATGGCCAGAGAGAGCTCCCTCACCTCTTTCACCGGGTGAGGACCCAAGGAGAAGGCACCATCAACGAGCCAGGAAACAGGCTCCCACCAGACACCGATTCTGCCAGCATCGTGATCTTGGACTTTCAGCCTCCAGAACTGTGAGAAATGAATACTTGTTTAAGCCATGTGTATTGTTACAGCAGCTCGAATGGCAAAGACACAAAGCAAGGACATGGCTCTGATATATTGAACTGAAATGTAAATTATATAACAATATTTTACATATATAGAAAATGTTCACCAAGGCAGGCAGATCACCTGAGGACAGATCAACACCAGCCTGGCCAGCATAGTGAAACCCTGTCTCTACTAAAAATACAAAAATTAACCAGGCGTGGTGGTGGTTGCCTGTAATCCCAGCTACTTGGGAGGCTGAGGCAAGATAATCGCTTGAACCAGGAGGTGGAGGTTGCAATGAGCTGAGATAGCACCACTGCACTTGAGCCTGGGTGACAGAGTGAGACTCCATCTCAAAAATAAATAAATAATAATAAAAAAAGTTCAGATAAATATATAATAAAATGATATAAATTTTAGAGCTATAATTTTAGGCTCTTATATATGTCCTCCCCATAATGGGAGCCCACTGCTCTGGGGTCAGTCAGGTCTCGTAAAGCAACATTTTTCTGGCTGTGTTTGAACTATTTTTCTCTAGTCAGAGTGAAAAGAAAGGCAATCCTGGCTTATAAAGCTAAACTTTGTCACTTGCAGGGAAAGAGTGCAGCTGTGTGTCGTGGGCTGGGTTCTGCGTAACCTCGGATGCCTCTCCTGGCCTCAGTTTGCTCACCTGTCTTAGTGTGATAATAACAGTATCTGCTTCAGTTTCCAAGAGGACTAAATAATACAAAACACATATCTTGGTGTTTTGTGCATAATAAACCTTAAATGAGTATTTGCCATCATTTCTGCAATGTTTAGCTTTGTATCTGAATTATTACACGGAAACGAATCTAAATTCAGAACAACTCACAAAAATAATATATTAACATAAGATCTTTTGAGTTAATTTAAAACATTAAATAATATTTCCAATGAGAGTTCTTTTTCTGCCCTTCTCCTCACCCCCCAAACTGTAAAGTGAACAAAGATGGTATCTGTTGATGGAACCCTGCCTCAAAGAGGTTTGGGAGATGACAGAGTTTGATTGATCTGTCACCTTGTGGAAGAGCCCACTTTACATGCTAACAGCTTTTGAGTTCTTCAGGAAGGAACGGCCTGTGACTGGCTGAATCAGCACTCAGCTCCTGTTTACTACCAAGTACAGTACCATTTATTTACCTTGGAGTAACCCTTCACCCAGCATCGCCTCTTGAAAGCTTCCGAGGAGAGGAAACGTACTTCAATATGAAGTCTTATTTCTCAACAGTTCTCCTGGTCGAGTTTAAAATTTAAAAATTATCTTGCCAAGCTTTCTGCACTGTGATTTATGCAAGAATGGTACAAGAATGAAATGGATTGTCTTGGCAGGCTGAGTCACTGCTACGATATCAGGGAGTATCTTCCTGCTGCAGAGGAAAGGGAACACGTCATGCTCTTTGAGTCACAAACCTTCTAATCATCACCTGTCTGAAAGGGGACCTGTTGTAACTGACTCAGCTGAGATTCGCCAAGCAGGCACGCTGAGTGAGTACAGATACCTGGTTAGCAGGTGAGGATGCTGGGGTGAGATTGGCAGCTGTCACTCTCTGAATTTTGACATGGAAGAGGGTCAATATCTGATGCAGGAAAAGTGGGCACCTTTGCATACTAACACAGTGGGCTCACTTACATAATTACACACATTTATCGTCTGTCATTTAGGCCTTGAAATGTATGAATTAATCCTCCTTGTGATGGGAGCGCACTGCTCTGGGGAAAGTCAGCTCTCATAAAGCAACATCTTCTTGGCTGTGTTGGAGCTGTTCCACTTATTCATTCTCTGTTATCACATTCATTGTGCTGGAAACATTCCGGTCAATGTTTTCACTTTTCCTGGGATCCTAGACAATGTCCCCACCATAGCTGCTCTGGAACAAGCAGCTGTGTGGCGATGGTGACTCATTCAACAGAAGTGACTTGTCTCTGGTGAACTCTCCTCTCTGTCTCCTGCCTGAGCTGAAAGTCACAAATCAAATGATAAACCTGGAGCCTCAGCCAGTATCACCCCCGATCTTCAAAGTGGTTCTGAAGGGCCTCAGATGTCTGGCTATTAAGAAGTCCTTCAGGTTTTGTTTGCCTCGCTAATCCTGCCTGTCCTGCTCTTCAGATAGGCAAAGGAGAATTGCGCTAGGCTACAGCTCAGGGCCTTCATCTAAGGCTCTTGTCAACAGCTCTTTGGAGGGTCTGGAGGGCTGGGAAGAAGGAGTCGCAGGTTCCTAAACTACCACATTTCTTCCCACAGTCAAAGTCCTCTGGTCTCCCGAATTTTGTTTCCAACACGACCATGTTGTCTTTGGAAAGGGGGATGTGGGTGGGAAGAGTCTCTAGGTATTCCAAAGTAAATATCAAAGAAAAACTGTAACTGGGAGTTTTTATAAAGGGACAAGTTGTACAGGTTTTCCACTGATCCAGCTGAACCGAGGTCCTGTGGGAGCATCAAGCAGAAATTCCTACCAAAGAGTAAGAAACAAACCAAACGAAAATGATGCACACACAGAAAAAAGGAATAGCGTCTGCTACAATTGCTGCCTGTGCCCGGGTCATTATTTCTATGAGTGGGACCTGAAATGGACAGCTGTCATCGGTCAAGGCTGCAGCTGTGTGTCTTAGCTTTGCCTAGGGAAAGCTCTTTTCCAGACGGAATACAAATGCATTCCTCCTCCTCCTCCTCTTCTTCTCCTCCTGCTACTCCTCCTCCTTCTTCTTCTTCCTCTTCTCTTCCTCCTCCTCCTCTTCCTCCTCCGCCGCCACCGCTTCTTCTTCCTCTTCTTCCTCTTCTTCTCTTACTTCTTCCATAAAGTTGAAGTCCCAGGTTGAGTGAATAAATGCTTTTTGTTCCTTTGAGAGGTTCCCCTAAAAAATGAAAACAGAATTCTCTAACATCTTGCATGAACAAAAGAACACCTATTTACAAAAAAGCAAACAGCACATCCAGCATGCTGCTATGCACCTCACTTCTAGGGTGCAAACTCTCATAACTGTCCGAGGAGAAGCCAATTCCCCTTCACAGGTGAGGGCCAGTGAGGTGCTTCCTCAGGTCTCTTGGTCTAAGGAGAACAAGGCTGGTCTTGACTTCCTTAAGGCATAGCCATTTCCAACAGCGAAGCATATTGAAAAATTCTGGAGTCAAGTTGGCTTTTCAAAACCCACACCCCAAGAGAATGGCAAAAGAGAAATCAGCTGCTGCATTGCTGTTCAGTTTTGCTGTTATTGAAGCTATCTGTTTTAATTATTTCAATCAATGGTGTTCTTATGTGTACTCTTTGGAACTTTAAGCAAATGGAATAATGTAGAAAATCCAATAAATAAGTAAAGGGAGATGAAGAACAGAGAACACTGTGTTTTTCAGGGAAAAGAACAATAGCAGCAGTGGTGTCAACAGAGACTCCTCTTCTCTGTGGCCTTGCTGGCTTGTGCTGCAGAGATACTGGCTCAGTTCTCTTGGCCTTGTCACCTAAGGTCAACACCAGTCTCTCTTCTGTTATTTGGACTTCTTTAAGTAGCTAAAGGTCTCCCTGTGGCTGCTTAATTTCAGCCATCACTACAGTGCTTCTGAGCGACATCATGGTCCTACAGATGTCACTTATGTGTGTAAACCACAGATCTGCACCTGGGCAAACTGGTCCTCATGGAACCACGTCTTGCCGAGACAACCCTACAAACAGGAAACTCACCTGTGTTTATAAACACCATCTTACTTAGCGATGGGTCAAGATTCCCGGGCAGTCCTAGGAGCAAAGTCCCAGAGATTCCTGCATCGTCGAATCTTATTTGCCCTGAAAACAACAAATTACATTACTAAGTGAAGGGAATACACTCAAATTATCTCTAAAAGTGTAATTTGTCATCATTAGCAGAAAAAGGTGATTCAAAGAAACATTGTAAAAATCACCCTAAGGACATCTTCTCGGAATCTTAGAGAACAAGATGACTCACCTTTCCTGCCTTAACCAGCAACCTGTCTGGGCCTTGCTCAGAGCTCATCTCGCACCAGAACAGCCTCCCCGCTGCCTCCCTCTTCCTAGAGGCCATGCTGTTGCCATGTGGTTTAAATCATAGCTGATGCCTATGCGGTCCTACCATGTCCAGAACTTCTATTTATAGCGTCTCATGTAATTTTTATTTATTAGATAAGTGCAATAATCACCGGATGAAAAGAGGCACAGATGACCCTGTCCAGGAGCAAAGTGGTGGCAGGACTGGACCCATGCCAGGTCCCAGCCAGTCCGTTCCTCTCCGCATGGCCCAGCCGCTGGGCTCTGGAAGCTGCAGGCAGGGTCCCTTGCAAGCCGGTGGCCTCAGCCCCATCTCTTTACTTCTCTGCAACTTGTTTTCTCTATGTGCAAGCTGTGACTAATCACACCTCCCTTCAGGGGATTTTCACAGGTTTCATAAGTGAAGTAAGTGCCTATTTTCTTTCTTTCCCTGTGTGTACCTTGTATACCACAGATGGACACGTGTCTAAAATACCTATTTTGTCAGTCTTTTCCTCCAACTCAGAAACACCGAGAGCCCTCCCCAATCCCAGCATTTCTATCAGGAAAAGGCTAACATGCCACCGGCAGCAAAGAGCTCAGTGTCACCAGACATCATTTTGCAGATAAAGAAAGGAAATCCCCGGGTGGCTGAAAATCTCCCCAAGTATGGGCCCAGGGACCTTGATGGGTCAGGTCTCACTGCATCCTGTCCCACTCTGTCCCAGCAAACTTTCTTCTCCAGTCAAAACTGGTCTCACTCTCTGAGGAACACCTGTGCCGACACTCAGGCACAGCCTATGGGGAACACTGCTCCCTGCCCTCTCCCACCCAAATCAACACACCTTCAAAGGAACAGAACACTTCTGCGCCTGGCAAGGCTCCCTTTCCTCTGCCTCCTCCTTCACAGAGACTTTGGGATTGTCCTCTGATGACAGAGTGCCCTGCCTCCTGATGGAGTGACGCTGGGATTAGAGGTGGGATGGAGGATGCCTGCTCACACCTCCCAGATCATTCACCAGGGGGCAGGGCCAGGCCATCATCCCACTGCGTTCATCTTGGCCAGGTGCGATGGCTCACACCTGTCATCCCGGCACTTTGGGAGGCCAAGGCAGGCCAATCACTTGAGGTCAGGAGTTTGAGACCACTCTGGCCAACATGGTGAAACCCCCTCTCTGCTAAAAATACAAAAATTTGCTGAATGTGGCGGCACGTGCCTGTAATCCCAGCTACTTGGGAGGCTGAGGCAGGAGAATCACTTGAACCTGGGAGGCGGAGGCTGCAGTGAGCCAAGATCGCGCCACTGCACTCCAGCCTGGGCTACAGCGTGAGACTCTGTGTCTCAAACAAACAAACAAACAAAGTTTGAAACCACTGTGTTCATCTCACACCTTGCAGAGAGATATATGCCCAGGATGGGGCTGAATAAAAAGCTAATAATAATAGCCACCACCTGTGGAGAGCTTCTCTTGGACCACGCATTCTGCTAAGTCCTTCTCTTGTATGAGGTAAGTACAATTATTAACCCATTTTACAGATGAAGAAAGAGAGACATACGCTCTTCAGCAAACTGCCCAAGCGCATGCATGTAGTAAGTGACGGTATTGAGATTCAAGTCCAGGCAATCTGTCAACCACGCACATGCTACTAGGGAGGGAGGGAGAAGGGGAGGGAGGAAGACAGAGAAAAAGGAAGGAAAACAGGAAAGGAGGAAAGAGGGAGGGAGAGAAAGGAAGCAAAAGGAAGGAAGGCAAAAAGTGAAGGAAGGAAGGAAAGAGAGGGGAAGGAAGGAGAACAGGAAAGGAGGAAAGAGAGGGAGGGTAGGAGGGAGAGAAATGAAGTAAAAGACGAAAGCAAAGCATGGAGAGCAGAAGGAGGGAGAGGAAGTCAGGAAAGGAAGAAAAAGGAAGGACAGGGAAGAAGAGGGAGGGAAGAGTGCTGAGAAAGTTGATTTAACAAAACAGATTTTTGGTCTCCACCTGGAAGGACCAGTTGTGCCCAGAGAACCTTCTCTGTCTCCTCTAACCATGGGATAAAAGGAGATTTCCACAAGAGCGGCTCAGGGACGCAGCCCATCTCTTAAGAAGGAGGCTCTGAGAGGTGAGTCCAAGGGTGTCTGTTCTGTGCGATTTTGAGGCTCTGCAGGAAAAAATCCTTAGCAGAATCCGAAGGGATGGAGTCAGGACCAAGTGACTTTGAGGGCCAAAAGGGAAAGTGGGAGGTCCGTGGTTTAAGGACAGCAGAGTCAAGGATGAAAAGATGCCTCCTTGCGATAGTCCCCAGGTTAGTTCTTTTTGAAATGAGTTTTTAGCCCCGATGTGACTGAGAAGTAAGGGGCGAATCTGTGCAAACACCGCGTTGTGTCCGCCCGGCTCCCAGTGCTCCCAGGTCTTTCTGGAGCAGAGCGGTTTCTGCGCATCACGGTCCCACCATCTGGATAAGAGGAGGTCCCGAGCCTGAGCTACTCTGGGGGCCTCTGGGTGCCCGGGGCCAGCGTCATCGGCTGACACTGCCACCTGTTCTCATGTCCCTTTTTGTTTCTTTTCCAGGGACAAGACCATGGATGCAGCACATGGCCACAAGGCAGTTTCAAGATGCCCATGTCAGGCAGAGGATGGCTCAGTGGTCTCTAACCCACCTAACATTTCATGAACTTTACTCCTGGTCCCGCTCCCAAATTAGACACTGGAGATAATGGATCACTGTAAGCATAAAAGGGGCTTTTTGTTTTCTTTTACAAATATGCCTAGATAATTCTCAGATACACCTGAGTAACAGCACACGTTCTCTACCTTTCAGACCTGTTGAGGGTGAGAGGGAGACGGTTAATGAAAGGCTGTGAGAACGCGATGCACAGAGTCCAGAGAACTTTTGAGATCATCATTCCCACCTCTGAGTTCCCAGCACTTTTTTTTCCAAAAACCGTTTCATACTTAACTAAGGAATCTGTGCTTAATTATTAGCATTAAGGAGAATAGTGAAGGCTAATTGTGGCCAGCGTTTTATTCTTCAAGGTGCAGAAAAACATACATTTCCTTCCTTCCTTCCTTCCTTCCCTCCCTCCTTCCTTCCCTCTCTACTTCCTTCCTTCCTTCTTCTCTCTTTCTCTCTCTTTCTTGCTTTCTTTAGCCTGTGCAGGAGTCAGACTCTGTATTGCATTTAGAATGAAGATAAGTCAAATTTTTAATCCCTGAGCCAAACACATCGGGTAACTTTCAAGTTCCCCAGAATCTTCTGATTTTCACTTGGGTTCAAAACCACAGTTCCACATGCAGTTGAAGTGGCATTTTCTTCCATTGGCAACTTCTGCATTTGGTATCAAACCTTTGGTTATGCACAGAGCTGAGGGAGAGCAAACCGATTCTTCACGCATGTTCCACCCTTGGAGCACTCACCCCTACCTCTAGGAGAGCCCCTAAAATGAGCTTGAGTCCTCCATCCAGAAACGAACCAACACTTCTCACAGAGAAGATGGCAGGGCCTCGTGCATCAGAACCCCAGCCAATCAGGACTGCAAATAAATACCCAGAAGCTGGTCTCAATGATGCGCTTGGTATAGGAAATGAAAGACGGAACCAATGGTTTCAACAAAATGAGAGCAGAACTGAAAGTCTGCAAATAAAAATTACAGGTCCTTCATCACAGCTTTCCCTCCACACAGGCCGTAAGAAAACCATGCAGTTCTCTAAGAGAATGTTTTTTTTTTTTTTTTTCCAAGAGCTCTTGAGTCATCTTGGTTTCTGTCTCTTGATGTAGAATTGACTCTGAAAGCAATAAAATAGTAAAAACACCTCATTCCCCTGCTTTGCATGTAATGGACTAACCAGGAAGATAAAATGTCCCACTTCCGGGGCTCTTCACCTGACATCACCTTAGTTTGAAGTTACTTAGCTTGGTATTCTGGCATATTTTAGAAAGCAAAAAGCACCTTAAACCTTAACATTTTGTGTCATTTCTAGGCCAAACACTTTGGGGCTTTTAAAAAAAGTACACCAAGATAAAGTCATCATTGACTCTGTTGAAAGAAATGGTAGGCAAAAATAAATAAATAAATAAATTTGACAAATGTATTAAAAATTCAAGGCTAAATGGGTTGAACAAAAGATTGGAAGCCGAGGTAATCTGTGAGAGATCCATGCCCAGCTGGCTAAGCTTTTCATCCTTCGGTTCTTACCCCTGACTTGCTGAACCAGCATGGTTAGAAAATGTGGGCCACACACACAAACAACGTTGAAATTCCTTGGATGTCAAGCTTTTGATTCACGCCCATTCTGTAAAGCATTAGGAGGTCAAAGGTGTATGGTTTTCTGCACTTTGGAAAAGAAGGAGCTGACCATTTCCAGCCTTCAGTGCTCTCTTTCATGCTAATAATTGAGCTGGAATTCCTGAAGAATGACACTGGGCGCTGAGGTTCGTCCTGGGAAGTAGGGGTGGGGTTTGTACCTGCAGTTTGCATAGGATCCTCCCACTGACCTGCCTGTTAGAAAGGACAGTGGCTTCAAAATCTGTTTGTTGTTCATTTGTTTTTCTCCCCATAGAGAACAAGGTGAGTGGAGGTATCTTCAATGAGAAGAAAGGCCTGAGCTCCCATTCTCCTGTTACAAACACACCATGTCAAATATTTTTCGAGTCAATATGTTTTAATAAGTGCTCTTTATTTATTGGGGCTACAATACTACAGTTGAAATTGTTTGCAGACTTCATTGATTTTGACTGGAGGTCCCTGGAAGGCATGGTGGTTCCTGCCTCAGCAGAAACTTGTGTGGCAATAGGAGTGGAGGCCAGAGAGTCCTTAGGTCAGTCCCAAATTCCCTGGGAAAAAAAGGGTTAACTGTCCCTGCATTGAATTAACTGTGGGGATAAAACATTTGTGAATACCATGTACACACATAAAATTGCCCCTAAACAAATTATTCTGGAGATACGTTATTCTAGCAAATGGTCATTCGCACAACGCACACAGCACAGCTGTCCTTTCTGGGTTCGTATGATTCAGAAGGTCCCAGCTGAATCGTGACAGCAGGTGCATAAGTGGCCTCGAGCTTTTTCCTCATTATTTCCAGCAAACCCCGTCTCTGTCTACTTACCTCCTTCCTTAACAGCCTTTTCCTAACCAATTCTTTCTGCTCCCCTAGAAATATTACATTCTGCAAATGCGAAAGGAAAAGAAATGGGTATCTGCTCAGTGCCGATTTCAGAGAGTATCTACAAAGCTTTTCTCTTTTGCACAGATACTGCACTGAAGACTCGGAGGGGTTGAGCCGCTGGAGCCACGCAAATTCAGACACCTCTTCCGCCCCAGGTCACTCTACTCGCCCACGCTGCCTGCCACACCCATCCGGTTGTGCGGGACACTCCCCGCGTTTCTTCAGCGATTCTTATCGGGCTCCCTCCTTGTTCAATAAAGGTGAAGGGTGTGGGGTTTTCTGTGCATACGCTCAGGAAGTTGAGTCCCGGTGAAACGTGTCAGGTTGCCATTTCCCAGGCTGGAAAGATTTTCCCAGGACGGGTATGAATAGACGATGAAAGTGCACACTCTTACCCGGCTGCCCGACCCAGGTGCCAGGCTTCTGACTCAGGACCATCTGTGGGTGCGAGTGCAGGGAGGTGAGTCACTGCAGCCTTGCTCAGTCCCCCTGCAGAGGTCAGATCCTGGGCCCCAAAAGCTGCTCCAGGATGAAAGCCTGCTCTCAGTGAGACTAAAATCCTGGTCATTTGTGTTCTGCAGTCATGAGCATGTAACCCTAATGTAGAACAACAACTTAGCCAATGACTATTTTTTCTGTTCATGCCACAGTACCTGAAGGAGAATTGCTGCTTCTCTTAATGGTGCCTGCCACCCAACCCAATAGTTAGCATGTGAACGTCTTGCTTGAGATCAGCTTCTGGGTGTAAAAATAAATTTAAATATAGAAAATTCAAATAACACCCATTCATTTATCAAAGATCTCAAATGTTCTATGATCAAGGCAAAAATCTAGTAGCCAAACAGAGGGTTCCCTAGCTGGTTTGACAGCCACACAGAAGGATGGTTTGTACACAGCCACTATTTTTCTAGAAGCCAGGGTAGCTTATGTTTGGGACATATATAAAATACAAGGTAAAGGCTCTTTGATTTGGGGAGGGATGATGGGAGGGGAAATAAAGGCATAAACATGAAGTAACAAGGGAAGTCAAAAATTCAGGTAGATAAGGCGAGAGCTGACGCTGTTGCAATCCATTCTTCATTCCCCATACGTGAGTTGCCTGAGGTTTCTGAGGTCACAGAAGCTGTGATGAACATGATTCAGTAGGAAGCAAGCAGGAATAGGAGCCAGAATCCTGAGTTCTCCTCTCAGCTCTGATGCTGACACTGTGATCTTATTATGTAAGATTAAATAAAAATCGTGTTTTAGACACGTAGGCAGAGAAAAAGTCACCATGCTGAAATTGGCCAAGGGACTGAACAGAACCTGTTGCGTAGGATCTTTTCATGATTCTAAGTTCTACAGGAGTTAGACACAATATCTGAACGGTCTCAGGTCTCTATCTTTAAGATACTAGAACTCAGGATTGAACTGGAATTTGAAGCAGAATACTCTGTTTGCTGAGTGCTGAGTTCTGCCAAGAGATAAATTTTTCTCCAGCCTCTGCAGACAGAGGCACCCTGAGCTCCTGGGATCTGGGGCAGCAGCCTCAGGGCTGTCCTGGATTTGAACGGCAAGTACAGAATTGCACCCATCCTCTCAGTAAACCTGAGCAGTAGACATCCCCATGCCCACTTTAGAAAGAGGGAGGTTAAAGCTCCCATGTGTTAATCAGTTCTCATGGTTAGAAACTTCTGGAGCTGGCATTTGAGAGATCTGTTGGACTCTGAAGCACATCTGTCTTCTCATTTAAGCCCTGTTCTAGGCATTTGCCCATACAGGGTGTGAGACTGGGCTTGTCAGTAACGTCCCTGCACTTGTAGAAACAGGACAGAAGAGGCTGCTGGCATGGGCCACCACACAGGCAATGGGCTAAGAAAGAACAGTCAGGATGCAAGAGAGAAATTTCTCCGAGTTCATAACCAGCCGATTGTGCAGGTGCAAACTTTGTGATCTGTGCACACCAAAGATCATTTCCGTATTTGCCTTGTAGCTGCCACTGTTGTTGTTTGCTAGGGAAAGGTGATAGTCCCTTGAAAACCTGTTCTGTTGCCCTGAGGCCACTTGATATCCAAAGTTTTCTTCATCCCTCAACCACAGCAAGCACTGACCCTCACAGTGACAGAGTGTGGGCAATGCACTCTGCACTCCTGAGTTACACAAATAAGGATTGATTTGATCGTTTCAAAACAAGGAGGTCACTGCAAAATTCAACAAATGCTCAGTAATGCCATTTTCTTCGCTGAGAGCTCCTCCTCTGCCAGCAGTACATGTCCCTCTCTAAGAAAAGGACTCTCAGAAGTGGGCAGATCGTAAGAGCTATGACTGATGATGAAGCAAAGATGAAAATCGTCTTCATGACTTGCATGTGCAGCAGAGGAAACCACAAGTTATTCCCTGCAAGCCGGAAGCGGGCGGATGTTTTCATGGCCAAAGCCAGCAGTCCCCATTTCTGTCTGTCATATTTTAGGGTAACTTGATGGAAGAGAGGGAGCAGGTGGCAGGGACAGCAAAGCACAGGCACCTTCTAGAAACAGTGAAGGGCTCAAGACATCCTGAGAATGCCAACTGGGTGCATGTGTCTGCTTTTGACCCACCCCAGATCTTTCTGTTTCTGAGTCCTGTACACCTGCAACAAGGGTAGGAGGGTAGTTTTTTAAATCGTTTTCCCTGTTTTACAAAGAAGAAATTACAATTACAATCTGGATCCCATGGGGCTGTGACATACATCACCCACCTTTGTGCCAGGACTGGGGCTAAGCTCCTTGCAGATACAATTTTTAATCCTGACAATCTTCCAGCACATTTGCTATCCTCAACCCCAGTTTTACAAATGACAAACTGAAGCAGAGGGAGGTGATGAAGCAGCTGCATCATATTTGAACACAATTCTCCCAGTTAAAGGTGCATTTCCATGCATTTGCTCTTGAGAGCTCCTCACCAACTCGCGAATTTAGGAAGATGAGAATTTCTCCTTCAGATACGTAGTGTGTTGGCCCACATCACAGAGCTAGTAGGGAGCTGGGTTCTGGAACCCAGGCCTTTGAGCTTCGGTGCATTTAATTTGTTGCTGAGATCTGAATATTTCCTTGTGACTGATCATGAAAACGTGATGAAATGGAAAAGAGTTACTAAAAGGAATGGTGGACGTGGGACTGGAAACAAAACAACGTGCCTCTAAGTTAGCCATTGGGGTAAAAGTGGAGCGAGGTCAGAGGCTCGTCAGGACTGTACTGGGCACGGCCCTGGCCTCCTCACTCACTGCCCACAGCAGCCCTCCCAGGGGACTGCACTGGTGGAGGAGGGGCAGACCCAGTCTGCCCTCGGATGGGACGCAGGGATTCAAAGTCCATTTTTCCATCTGAAACACTGACTGCATCACACGTTACCTTTAACTGGAAAAAGACAACATGCACTTTGCAATGTTCTGCGTTAAGATGAATACATGATGAACAGTGACAGCTTAACTGTCTGGTTGACCTTGAAGAAAAAAAGACAACCATTCTGTTTTAATGTAGTCAAATAAACATCAAGTGGCTTGCAAGTAAAAAGCAGGAAAAGGCAGCACTTTGTGAAAAAGGAGGTTTGGGATTTGTAAACGTTTTAACGAGTCATCTGGGAAAACCCGAGGTGTGTCTCCTGTGCAAAAGACTCACATCCGGAATTACAAAGGTTTTGCATTTAGCACAGAAGTGATGCGTCGAAACACCCGATTGTTTAAATTTTAATGACAAACAAAAAACGTGCTTTAATAAGATTTCACTTTCATTTCCCTGAGTAGCTATGTTCTGGGGCCTGTGAATCTTCTTGGAGCATTAAATGCATTTGTCAATTTGGGGGGTAGCCTTTCAATTAATATGAAGTCAAAATAAAAGGACACTCACAGGTCCTTTCTTTCCCAGGTGGGGGTTCTTCCTGGTGTTGTACTATTGAGAACTGAATTGACAGGTGTGTGGACATCCCTGGTCATTGTCTTCTGCTGTCTAACCACGTCGTCTTTCCCATAGGCTTTCCATCTACTGAGAAAGGGGAGAAGGAAGAGAATGAAATGGAAAATGAGTGATTGGTCTTATGTAAACCCTTCTAGGCAAAACAGGAACCAGAGGGGGTCTGATATTTTGGATCAAATGAGTTGCTGGTTTTATTTAGAGATCCTGCTTAGAATTAATGCGTCCATGCTGTTGGAGAAGAGAGCAAAGTAGTGACAACATCAGGCTCATTGTTCATTCATTCATTCATTCATACATTGAGCATTCCTAGGGGCTGAGGAGTCAAGAGCCATTAAATTTTATCCAGTAATCTTCCCTTATCTGCGGATTCGCCTTTGGCAGTTCCAGTAGCCTGTGGTCAACTGATGTCCCAAAATAGGTGAGGTCTCAAAATAGGTGAATACAAGAAGAAATTTAGAGAGAGAGAGAGGAAGAGAGAGAGAAAGAGAAAGAGACCACATTCACATAACTTTTATTAGAGTATATTGTTGTAATTGTTTTATTTTATTATGTTATAGGTGATCTCTTACTGTGCCTAATTTATAAATTACACTTTATCACAGGTAGGTATGTATAGGAAAAATCATAGTATATATATATAGGATTTGGTGCTTCCATACTTTCAGGCATCCACTGGGAGTCTTGAAACGTGTCGCCCTGGGATAAGGGGGACAACTGTATGCACAATTCTTTGTCCAAAGGACTCATCCTCCAGGGAGGAAGGGAGAAGGGTGAAGATGCTCAGAGTACAGGTGGCCACTGGCTCTCCCAGGACATTCCATCCATTTCTGGAACGTCATTATGCTTCAGGGAGGTCATACCGGACACTCACTACTGCTCAACAGCTAAGCAGTAGAAATGAAAACAGATGTTCTTTGTACCTTGTTCAGCTCTACCCTGAGTATTCTATGGTAGAAACTTCAACCCTTGTCCATAAATGGGGACATTCCGCTGCCTCTTTCTCTCACAGGTGTCATTTCTGAGCAGGGAAGGTGTGATCTGGGGCCAGAATGAATGGCCCTGGTGACTTCTTACCTGATTCATCCCACACCAGTCAGAAGGGGCTGTGAAGGCAGCAGCGAAGGAGCCACACATGGACGTGGAATGGGCACGCTGACCATCATGGTCACGACTGCAAGAAAGCAGGTACTGAGCCCACTTCTGTCTGAAGACTGTGATATTGAGCTGAGGCCACACACACACACACACCCACACACACACACACACACACACACAGCCTTTGCTTCGAAAGGACCAGGTCCCTCATCATGCATTGTCAACAATACATAAAAGCTGAAAGGCGCCTCACACTCGGGCTCACGCTCCGCAAGTAGCCAACATGCAAGAAGAGACAGAGGGGCTTCCAGCATGGTGCCTGACACCTGGAGACACCCACTACTTACTGTGTGGGTGAATGAAGAAAATGCGTACCTGGCTCCAGAATGGCCCATTGCTGGTTGGCATGGGGTTCCGTTGCTTAGAGGTGAGAGGGTGAGTATGGGCTCCACTGGAAGACAATAGGGCATAGATGTGGTTCGGCCACATATTTCATCAAGGTGCACCTGTGACTTCTGCAGCATCTAATTTGAGAAATTGATAAAATGGCTAAACAGTGTATATTATGGTAGTCGGAGAGATGAGTTGGTTATAACCCCGGCTCTTTCTTGCAGGGCTGCGTGGGTTAATTGGCTGTGTCTGAGGGTCACCCCTGCACAAGGAGGATGATGACGACTGCCCTGTGCAACCCTGGGTCATCTCAGGGGAGAGCCATTCCCAGGTTCACAGCAAGCACTCTTTTACTCAGATGGGCCACCTGCATCAGGCCCCAAGGAAGCACTTATTAGTAGAAGAAAAAAAACAAAAACCCAGAAAACAGCCAGTGAGACTATTTTACAAACAAGCGAAGAGCAGCAACTGAAAGCAACAATAACTACAACATAAATCCCTCTGCAAATATTTGGGATTTCATTTCCACTAAGGATAATGATGGCGTAGAAGGCATGTCTGTGGGAGTTATGCACACAGGGAAAAAGGTGGTGAAAATAATCAACCAAAAATAACAAAATTCAATTAATCAAAACAGAACAAAATAAAATGAGCCAAACAGCATATCTGAATATAAGCATAATAATTGTCGTTGGACAAACCTTTGTCAAATCAAATTGGCTTCTAGCACACGGGCTGATACTTTGTGATTCAAGTGGTGTTCTACCCACATAATTCATTTAGTTGCAAAGAATGTAACAAATAATGCAATTATTCCAGAGGATCACGGTGAGACATCTATTTGGTGGTGCCTTAAGCAGAGTGCCCTGATTCAGAAGAATTAGACCAATCTCTGGATTCACAGCCACTCATGAAAACTGTAGGCCGGGCACGGTGGCTCATGCCTGTAATCCCAGCACTTTGGGAGGCCAAGGCGGGTGGATCACGAGGTCAGGTGATCGAGACCATCCTGGCTAACATGGTGAAACCCCGTCTCTACCAAAAATACAAAAAGAAATTAGCTGGGAGTGGTGGCGGGCACCTGTAGTCCCAGCTACTCGGGAGGCTGAGGCAGGAGAATCGCTTGAACCCAGGAGGTGGAGGTTGCCGTGAGCCGAGATCACGCTACTGCACTCCAATCTGGGTGACCGAGCAATACTCCGTCTAAAAAAAAAAAGTAATAATAATAATAAAATAGGAAACTGCAGTAACTCGGGACATCTGGGTTCCTTGTCTTTTGTCAAAATCACAGGGAATTCAACTCACTGAATCTATTGGTCAATTCAATTCCGCCATTGGTCAGTATGACTCGGCTTTTGACAGAGAGTTTTACCCAAAGACTTGCAGAACTTCCTTCCTGCAAGATTTCAGAAGCACAGCAAGCATTGCAAGAGGAAACTACCTTATAAATCATACAAACCCAGCATCGTGTTCTTTGCTTGTCCTTGCCTGAATTTACTGGAAAATCATGTTGTGAAACCTAAATGCAAATGAACCTTTCTTATTGCAAATTAAAAACTAAATCCATTTTCAACTGAATTCAATGGGAAAAACAAGAATTATTTTCCTAAAAAGTAAATATCCACCACTCCGTAATAATTGTGATCCGCTGTGGCTTATGTGTCGTGTCTCAGGACATGGACTCGGTCCTCTGCATACCTTACCTCTCATCCTGCAATAATCCTGAACAGGTTCCCATTATCCCCATTTTAGAGGTAAGAAAAACACAGCTCTAAGGGTCTAAGTAACAATCCCAAAGCCAGAAATCAGTGCAATCTTTCCTTGTAGGTTCCATAAAGGAAGACTCCTCATTGCTCGCTCAGGGTAAATGTCTACTCTTTGCAAATGCCATTCTTAGCAATCCTTTAAAAACAGTAACTCCTAGATTGTAGTACTGCTCAAAGTTTCTAAGGAAACTCACAAGCTTAAAGAAATGGCCGTGGGGTACTTGGGTAATAGCTTCCCCACTTTCTTATCCAGGAGCCTGGCTTCCAGGTGTTACCCTAGGCTGGTCATGAAGATACGTCCACCTTTTTTTTTGTTTTAAGTTACAGAGTTGCAAATATTTTTAATATTTTAAATTGATAAACCCAAGTTATTTGAATGCCATCTTTAAAGTTTTTGATTTGTTTTGCTTGTTTGTGCCTTGTCTTGTTTTTAAAACTTTTATTTTAGGTTCAAGGGTACATGTGCAGGTTTGTTATATAGGTACACTCCTGTCACGGGGGTTTGTTGTATAGATTATTTCCTGATCCAGTTACTAAACCTACACATCCTGAAAAGGCAACATTTCTGATTCCCTAAGTGCAGGGAGCTCAGTGGGTGGGGCACAATTGATTAATGGTGACCCAGCAGCTGCAGGCATGCCTTCCCCTCTTAAATCCTATAAACCTTTCTCCCAGGGCAGAGAATGGGACTGGCCTTGTTCCCACAGCTCCCTCCCCTTGCCATCCTTGAGCCTTGAGAAGGAGCTGCTTACACAGCGAAGAAGGCCGGAAGGTCTGTGCGACATTCTTTGGTACCATCTGTGGACATTACTGTTCCATGCAGCCGAGGCTCCGTCCAGCGTTCACTGATCTTACTGTACCTCCCCTCAGATCTAGGGGAACGTGCTGGGAGCCGCTTCAGAAATGGGGGACTTTCTTTTTTTTTTTTTTTTGAGATTTAAAAAACTTTAATCTCCAAATTAAGTATTTCTTTATAGAACTCTGTTTTAGACAACAAAGAATGGTAACATAGTTAAGAGCCCAAACTCTGTGGTCAGGTACATCTGAGCTAATGAATATACTTAGAATTCCTGGCATGTGGTGAGCACTTGGTAGACATTATTATTATTGTTATTAATAATACCCCAAATCCATCCTTCCTCCCAGTTAATTTCTTTTTTTTTTTCTATTATACTTTTAAGTTTTAGGCTACATGTGCACATTGTGCAGGTTAGTTACATATGTATACATGTGCCATGCTGGTGCGCTGCACCCACTAACTCGTCATCTAGCATTAGGTATATCTCCCAATGCTATCCCTCCCCCCTCCCCCCACCCCACCACAGTCCCCAGAGTGTGATATTCCCCTTCCTGTGTCCATGTGATCTCATTTTTCAGTTCCCACCTATGAGTGAGAATATGCAGTGTTTGGTTTTTTGTTCTTGTGATAGTTTACTGAGAATGATGATTTCCAATTTCATCCATGTCCCTACAAAGGACATGAACTCATCATTTTTTATGGCTGCATAGTATTCCATGGTGTATATGTGCCACATTTTCTTAATCCAGTCTATCATTGTTGGACATTTGGGTTGGTTCCAAGTCTTTGCTATTGTGAATAATGCTGCAGTAAACATACGTGTGCATGTGTCTTTATAGCAGCATGATTTATAGTCCTTTGGGTATATACCCAGTAATGGGATGGCTGGGTCAAATGGTATTTCCAGTTCTAGATCCCTGAGGAGTCGCCACACTGACTTCCACAATGGTTGAACTAGTTTACAGTCCCACCAACAGTGTAAAAGTGTTCCTATTTCTCCACATCCTCTCCAGCACCTGTTGTTTCCTGACTTTTTAATGATTGCCATTCTAACTGGTGTGAGATGGTATCTCATTGTGGTTTTGATTTGCATTTCTCTGATGGCCAGTGATGATGGGCATTTTTTCATGTGTTTTTTCACTGCATAAATGTCTTCTTTTGAGAAGTGTCTGTTCATGTCCTTCGCCCACTTTTTGATGGGGCTGTTTGTTTCTTTCTTGTAAATTTGTTTGAGTTCATTGTAGATTCTGGATATTAGCCCTTTGTCAGATGAGTAGGTTGCGAAAATTTTCTCCCATTTTGTAGGTTGCCTGTTCACTCTGATGGTAGTTTCTTTTGCTGTGCAGAAGCTCTTTAGTTTAATTAGATCCCATTTGTCAATTTTAAAATCAATTCAAGATGGATTAAAGACTTAAACGTTAGACCTAAAACCATAAAAACCCTAGAAGAAAACCTAGGCATTACCATTCAGGACATAGGCATGGGCAAGGACTTCATGTCTAAAACACCAAAAGCAATGGCAACAAAAGAAATGGGGGACTTTCTAGTGGTCTCTTGCCCTACGCATCCTGGAGCAGCTCCTGTCTCCTATCTCCACCTTATGGCAGGGCACGATGGCCTTTGAATGCATGGCTTTGAAGTTTGGATCCTAAGCTGACTGTTTTAAATCGGTAGCTAACACTTAAGTTCTCTTTAATTTACATGAACTCAATTATTTGTATATTTGAATGTTGCTCAAAGGCAATTTACCATGAGGAGTTAGATTTAAAAAAAATAAAAATAAACCCCAGCAAACACACATATGTGTCATGGTAAGCCCACTTGATCTAGCTTCTGAACCTGAGAATAAATCACCTATTTGGGGAGGATAGCACATTGCACAAGGAAGGTGGGGATGATAGTGAAGGATTTTCCATTCCCATCTGAAAGGATTCAGAAGGCTGCATTCTACTGCAGCCCAAACTGCCCCACTTTCTTGTCTCCTCACCAACAGAAAAATGCCACCTGGGTCATGCCGCCTGGCTCTGGAGTGAGTTAACTGATAATGTCAGTGCATGTCATTAACTATCTTGCACATCTGGAAGCAGATCTTGCAGAACCAAATGAAATGTGGTAACGCGAAACTTAAGAAATCAAGGGGAGCGGCGCTGTGCTTGGTTGATACCTGCAAGTCACCCATAAATGTGCCTGTCGTCAACAAAGGGCAAATCTTGGAAAAATGGCGTGCAACCCTGTGTTCAGTTACCCATTAGCCAAGCCCTGGAGCTTCGAAAGAAGCTCGTTGTTTGTTCATGGCAGATCTGAATTGGGGCTCTTAGTTTAAAAAATAATTCCAGAGATCATGTGATCATTGACATATATATATATATATGTATATGTATATATATATTTGTATATGTATATATATATTTGTATATGTATATATATATTTGTATATGTATATATATATATTTGTATATGTATATATAAAATGTATATACATACATGTGTATTTGTGTGTATGTATGTACATTTTATATATACATACACATATATTTAAATACAAACACACACACACTTACAGTGTTTTGTACAGATCATGTAAAGGAAAGTAAATGCAACCTAGCAACTGCAGCTGAACGGGACTCGTAGGCCAATGGGCATTCTGGTTAAATCTGTCTTTTAAGATTCTGTGGTGATCGTGCCGCCTGGCGTGGCTTCTCTCAGGACATGTGGAACCCATATTTACTCTCCTCTTTGTCTCTTCATCCACAGACGTTTAGAGAATTCTCGTTAAAATTACTTAGAAACAGAAAGACCTTGTTATAAAATAAATCTAGTTAAACACACTTTGTTGTGGTCCTCATTTGCGTGATGCATGGGCCTCATTTTCGTCTCTCTGTATCTTAACTGTGTGCATTAGGTGATTCATGCCAATTAATGCAGGATGTCACATCTCCAATTGCTTTCTCTATCTTCTTAAACATTAAAAATAAATATGTGCCATCTGTCTCATATCTTGAAAGCAATTCAAAATGGTTACTTTTGTTTTCTCAGGATTACAGCACAATTTGTAGCTGGAGTGCTTCTGAATTGCGAGAAAGCCCTGTCTGCATTTCATACATGTAATGTCATATTATGGTGGCTGCTGCAGATCGAACAGCAAAGGTTGGGCGAGACAGCAGTGTGGGATGGTGACAAAAAGCACGGTCTTTCGCATCTAAGAGACCTGGACCAGTATGCTGAGCCTGCTGCTTCCTAGCTGTGACCTCAGGAAAGTTGTGTTGTCTCTCAGGGCCTCAGTTTTCCTCATCTGTGAAATAGATATAACATCTACTGCAGCGGTCTCCAGCCTTCTTGGCACCAGGGATTGGTTTCACGGAAGACAGGTTTTCCACGGACCAGGGATGGTGGGACTTGGGGGTGGAGAAGGGTAGGGATAGGTGGGGGTGGGAGACGGTTTGGGGATAAATCTGTTTCACCTTAGATCACCAGGCATTAGGCCATTATATTCCCATAAGGAGCATGCCACCTGGATGCCTCGCATGCACGGTTCACAATAGGGTGGTTCATGCTCCTTTGAGAAGCTAATGCCACCACTGATCTGGAACAGTATCGATCCGTGGCCTGGGGGTTGGGGTCCTGTAATCTACAGCACAAGAAGTAGGAAGCAGACACCATTATCTGCATCATCATGAAATTTTGCTAGGAAAGTAATTCCGTTTGGCAAGGATGGTTGTTTAAAAGTAGCTCCTGGTGGCATAATATTAACAGAAAAGAGGGGAGTTAGGTGTGAAAGCTGTGTTCTTTCTCCGTAGCAATTACAGCAGAAAAGGAAGACACTTTCCTCCGATTGCCTGTGTTGTCCTTTGAGCACTCAGGTCAACTTGGATAGGGAACGGGGCCGGTAAAGTGGGGACACTTGGGAGACTTTGGGTCCATTTACAGCTACAACAGCACTTTTCAAAAATGGTGATTTTAATTTAAAAAATGGTATGCTATAACGCAACAAATGTCTAAATAACTTAACTGTAATTAGACGGGCAAAGGGCAATCTGAGAAAGTCCTAGTTTCCATTTGAGCACAGTTTTCCTCAACAATTCTTTCATGTAGCACAAGAGAAAGCTTTCTCGAGCTGAGGCCAGCACTCTGAAGATGGCGAACGTGTAATTTGAAGTGCACCCTATACTTACACACCACAGAATTGTAGTGCTATCGAGAATGCTGGATCCACGTGACCTAGCCCTATTTTAGCAATAAGCAAACTGAGGGTCGGTGTAGCTCAGCAAATTGTCCAAAGCACACAGCTCGTTCAAGCTAGAACATTTCCTTTCTTCTTTTAGCTAGGTTTCAAAAAATTTGTTAAGCAGACTGAAATTTTTTATACTTCTATAAATACCCTAAGGTTGCAGCCGATTCCTTGCACGGCAGCGCTAACAGCCTTATTTGAACATAACTTAGCTGTCCTGCATAGTCTTTCCATGACAAAGTGGTCAAGTCTTAATAGTAGCCGCGAATGACTATCAAGACTTTAAATTTAGACTGTACATTCGGGGCAATCCAACCATGAGTCATGTTGACATGTGCTTGGGGATAGAACACGCCCACGAATCCCGGCAATAATGTCGTCTGCTCCCCACGTCCTGCCCTACCACAGCTCCCTCCAAACTGCTGACATTTTTACCACAGTTATAGAAAGAAAATTAATGAACATTCCTAGTCTGGGCACACATCTTAACATCCATCCCCTCTCCAATTATAAAATTAAAAGCAACCACTGTAAATTCCCCACGTTTAGCAAAATGAAGAGCTATGGAGAGGAGTGAGCGCTTAAGCCACCTCAAGTAGAATATCCTTGTTGTCACACTAAGAAGCTGGTTCCCACGGAAACACATTGATTTACCCCATTGCTACTGATTGGCTTAGTGTAATCTGAAAATGGACTCCTACAAGGATCAAATTGTCCTGGTCCACACAGTAAAGCAAAGCTGAGATTACTTGCTAAACATTGCTCTAAAAAACAAAAGGCTGCCTATTTTCAAACAAACTCTACATTTAATGTATCTTATTGGCCTTAAAAGAAAAAAAAGAGATGTAACTCCTCTGGCAGTGATGTCATCTTTTATTTTCTGCCCTCCTTGACTGAGAGTGGGCTGAGGTTGTGAGAACAGCCCTCTGGCCTGGAGTCCCTCTGCCTCCTCCACCCCTCCCAGACATGCCTCAGCCAGGTGTGTGGCAGGGCTGGCTGGGGAAGGTAGGCCCAGCTCTAGCTGCGGAACTGGAGCAGGCTGTGGAGGCACAGAAGTGGCAGGGAAACACTCAAGTTTGTCGTTGTGCAGGTGCCTCTGCAATGCATTCCCTGGCTTGAGCAATGGAAGATCAAACCGGCATGGTTCCCTACTGTGCCCACAGCCGGGGGGTTGTTTTTGTCAGTCCTTGGAGAAGAGTATTTGATGCATTCAGGGAGGGCAATGTCAGGCTCGCTGACATCCTCTCCAGCTCCCAGGACAGGCTGTGGAAAGAGGAAGGGGCTGAGGTCGGTGAGTTGTTCTCAGGGTTGCTCAATGAAGATTTGCCCCCAGGAGGAAGCCAGGGTGATGAATGCAGGAGGAATCTGTTCCAACAACCCCCTTCCCCCAAAAAAAACAACCAGACTCAAGATGCTGATAAGAATTCTTTTATGTTATTCCAATAAAAAATACATTCATACAGAAATATAACAATCTTGCAAAAAACAATTTCAAATAAAATCTTGTAAAACAAAATTTTACAAAAATCTTACAAAGATTCTTTAGATAACAGGGTGCTTCCAAAAAAAAAAAAAAAAGAAATTTCACTAATAGAAATTTTTTTTTAATTTCAAGCAAAAAGTTTCTGCTTGATTGAGGCTCAGTTATCACCTGAACAGAATGTACTTCTTTATGTACGTGCTAATTATGAAAATCACAGGCATTGACAGGTACGGTACCCAGCCCCACCCAGGCAAACAGCTCCGACATGTTTCGTAAGTGAGACAAGCCAGTGCAAGTTTTTTTTTTTCCTTTTTTTTTTTTTGTCTTTTGCTTACCTTCTTGCTTAATGGAATTGTTATGGCTAAGCACATAGAAGGCCAAAAAAGGAGTTTTCCAAACCCAGCAAATCAAGTGCTTGGATTCTGAACTGCCAAAAGAAAACTGCACTTCCCCTCTTAAGTAAAACGAAATGAGTTTCTTAGGTAAATGTATTCATCAGCCCAGATAAAAAAAAAACCAGTTATGTGAGCGTTAGTCACTGCTCATTTCCAGGAAGATCAAACAAAATACCAGCCCAGCCAGACTCACATGTGTGTATATATATATAAAGCAAAGAGCCACACCCACAAGCCAGCAGCTGGGTGAAATATCAGCTGTCCACGCCGTGGTATGCCAATTCGGGGAAATTACTCCTTGGAAAAACTGGAAGAATCTACTTGCTGGAAAAAATAGCTTCATCTGCATAAAAAGTGTTCTACAAAAGAATCCCTGTGGTTAGCTTACTCTTAGGTTAGATCTTCTAATAAGGCTGAAATTCAAAATCAAAACCTTAGTGTGTCCGAGTCCAGCCTGGGTTCCAGCATTCTGTTCAGGCCACTTCTGAACGGCCGAAGGTGCCCCATTCCAGACCTGCCCATTTGATGGACAGAGCAGACAGCCCGGAACAGATTCAAGCAAGAAAGTCCTCCGCACATCGTTAAATTAAAGATAAAGCCTCTATAAAAGTTAGGTTATGGTTTTCATTTTTACCTCCTTTATGGCCATTTTGAAATATTTCTTCACAGGCTGTGGAATTTTCTAGCTAAACATTCTAGTTTCTCCTTAAAAAAAATATTTATATATTATCTATATATATAATATATATATATACACACATACACATACTGTACACACAAATATACATACACAAGAATTCTGCCCACTTTTTTAAAAAAGTAGTATACTTTCTGTATTACCAACAGATAGCTAGACAGATATGTGAAACTTGTGCCTTTTAAGCAAATACATTAACATTGGGGGTTTTTTAATACTTCTGTATCTTTAATATGTGTGAAAATGTTACATATTAAATACAGCCGGTGTGTGATCTATACAATTGTTGTGCAAGGTCTATATGAAAGTCTCAAGGTGGCAGAATTGGTCAGATTTTTCCATTTTCCTGTTTTCCATTTTAACACTGACAGTCAAGTTGCCTAAAGTGTTGAACAAATACTGACATGTAAAGGGAGTTTCACTCTATGTCTTTGTGAAGGAGGACCTTAAAGAGATTTTTTTTCTGTATTATACGTTGATACAGTACACTGCCAGGTGAAACAAGAGCCTTAATAAAGCATGCATCGCCCACACCCCTGTATGAGACCCCCACAGAAGGGATCGCTTGCGTAAGGCACCATTATGAAGGTCAACAGTGCATTAACAGCTAGAAAACCAGAAATTAGTCCTCAAGGCATAAATAAGAGAAACATAGCTGCATGAGAAAACAGTTTCTAAGCGTTAGTGGTTTTATCCACCCAACTGAGAAAAATTTTAGGTTCTTAAGTCTAATGAAACATTAGACCAGCAATTCCCAGCCCCAGCTTTGTGACACTCAATACGTGTCCAATTTCTTCTAAGGGCATCACAGAATTCTCCAAAAAGTTAATTCAAATTCAGAATCATTTAAAAATAATCCTGTGTTGCACAATGCCTTTCTGGAAGGGGAGTGTTACAAACTTGGAGGGGAAAAAAAATTGTATATTGCCAGGCCCGGATGGCTAGGGGGTCACTGTATTAGACAGATTGGATCTTAGCTGCTCATTAACTGGAATCAGTATTGCAGTCCTGACTTAAAAATGGAAAAGCATATAGTTCCCCAGACCATGCATGACTTTTTGTATTCTAAGGAAAAGTTAAATTGTTGTGTTATATTTGTAAATACACAGCTTATACAATGGGTTACAAATGAGCTATGTTGTAGCGTGTAAAACAAGCTACTTGACACATTGCACATTTAATAGCTGCACCAGACACTAAGAGTTCCTCTCACACAGAAAAGGGGGAGAGAGGCTCTCCCTCCCCACACCACTCGCCACTCTGGGGTCCTGAGTTCCCACGCCCACCCTCCAAGATTTTCCTTCTTTTTTTGTTTTTGTTTTTTTGTTTTTTTGATTTTTCTTTTTTTTTCTAAGGTGCAGACACCCCCTCCCCCCAAGGAAATGATTGGTGGTCATCTCATCTCATGGTATACTCCTTACACACAAAACATTCAAACTACTTTTTTTCCATCTCTTGCAGTCTTGCTAACCACAAGGAAAAAAAGTTGGCCTCATCATACGGTCAGTAATAGATCCTCAACATACAATCAACCCAACCATTAGCATTCTCAGTGTGCATGCTCACGGCAAAGGCTTAGGCGCCGCTCGGAAGGGCGGGTACCAGTGGCGAGTCCAGGGTCACCCACATACCATGCACCACGGGTGCTATGCCGCTTCTTACAGGACCTTTTTAGCCCTCAAAAGACCTTCCAAGGAGAGGCCCTGGAGGCAACTGGGTAGGGTGCAGAACGGCATGCTTTGGCTGGAACACGCATCCCTCCTTCCACGGCCGGCTCTCAGCCTGGAAGCCTTTTAGCCTACAGGATCCACCTCTCTGCTCCCTCAGAGGTGCCTCTTCATGTGCAGGGCCAGGTGGTCAGACCTGGAAAAACACCTGCAAGGGCAAATCAGAAGCACAGAAGAAGTTAGGTTCCCATCCCTTGCCAGTGTTCTGGACCAGCGCCCTCACCTCCCTGCCCTGCCCAGCCTAACCCCCTGCAGGGAAAGGTGGGATTCTCCTCCCAAGCCTCATCAGTGTCTTCAGGGACAGGAGATACCAACTGATAGGAATGTGAATTAAGAATGTCCCCCACCAGTGGCTGGAGGTTCTTTGGAGAATCTGAACGGACTTCATTTCTAATTCTTCAAATATGAAAACTGTTGAAAGGCCAATCTCCAAACATATCAATAAACTGACTCCAATGTCAGGTGTATGTGGAACAGTTCTTCCTAACCATGGACAATGAGCACACCAGAAACTTTCTAAAAAGTCCCAGGCTTGAAAAGAAATGTTCACACATAGGAAACTGCATGCCTTCCTTCGAATGTGCCCTGCACACCTACTCAACCCTGGTCATCACATTCCCAAGGCCCCACGCTCCTTGCCCAGCATTGTCCTCAGGCACGTACCTGTCACAGTGGGAGCATTTAAAAGGCTTGGCCCCGGTGTGCTTTCGGAAGTGCCTGGTTAACTCATCACTTCTTGCAAAACGCCACTCACACCCTTCCCATGAGCATCTGTAAGGCTTTTCTCCTGGGGAGAGAGCACAGGACAAGCAGCCCATGACTTCACTGACCCGCAGACGGAAAGGGGAAATTCAACAACACACACAGTGGTGGGATGCAAGGCCAGGGACCCAGTGGCTTCTGGCATCGGTAACACACAACAACTGGCAGCCTCAGAGAGACAACAGCAGCTCTCTCCTGACCCAGTCTCAGGCCTCCCACTGCTGTCCAAGGGACACAGCTTCAGCCAAGCCCATGGTGCTGTCATCAAAGTTAACGTGGAAGAACGACCACGACTCAGACCAGCAAAATGCTTGCGGGATGAGGTGTCAGCCTGCCGGACCCACAGCCCCGGCAAAGGCAGAGCTATTGCTTTCTTCATGGCAACTGTTTCTCCCAAACACACTTCTGTTCCATCCTCACTTCCCTATGGAATGTGCCTCTGCAGTTTCCTCAGGGACGTTCTACCTTTCTACAAAGCTGAAGTTACGAGCTTCTGGAAAGCCCCAGTACAGGGCCCCGGAATCATTCTCTAAATGGCAATTGAACAACTGGGTTCACTTCATTCCTTGGTCAAATCATAAATATGAATTTACTACAAGTGCTACCTGAGAAAACAAAGTTGTCAAGCCAATCTCAGGGTATGTTGAGACAGGCCTGGGCCTGGATATTGGGCCACCCGGATCTCAATCTCAGCTGTCACCAAGCCTGTCTGGGACTGACTCTCAGCAATTTGCTCTCCTACTGATAAGAGAAGAGCCTGCATCACGTGATCACTAAGACCCTTCCCAGTTCTAAATGTTCTGTGATTCCTCACCAATTATCCTAGAACATGTCAAGGTATTTTTAAATAGCACTTTCACCTAGGTATGGCATTTCATTAAGAAACTGTTTCAAGCGGTATCAGAAACAAAGGCTGCATGAGACACGGAGAAGTTCTCAGGAAACACTCGCTGATCAATGCTGCTGCTTACAGAGCAGGCCGGTCCCACTCGGGCCTCGGGCCGTCAGCATCAAACCCACACACTCCACGCTGCCCAGCAACCCTCTGTCCTGACCCTTGAGTTTCATTTAGGAAACCCCAGGGCCGCTCGAGGTAGCCTCGTGCGAGTGCACTGGTGAAGGGGCAGTGGCCTCGGATCCCCAGCACTACTAAGGGGTGGGGGGTGGAGGTTTGGGTGTCCGTGGAGAAAAGGATCTAGTCTCTTGTTTGTTTAATCTGAAAATTGTTACACATTTATCCAACTCAAAAGTCCAGTCTTTAGGATTCTACTCTGAACTCCAAAAAGACCTAATGCTTTGGTGGAAAACATCTGAGGAAGTGAGGATTTGTCTGCCCTGACCACATCCTGTGCAGCCAGGCCCGGCTCCCTCCAGGGCTGGTGCAATGCAGTGGCGCCCACCAGCGGCCGCCCTCCGGGGCCCGCGTGGGCACTGACCTGTGTGCGTCCGCTGGTGTGCTTTCAAGTGGGAGCTTTTGGTGTAAACTTTCCTGCAGCCGTTAAAGTGGCACCGGTGCACCCTCCTCCTGCCGTCGGGGGAGGCATCGCCATTTCCCTTGTCACCTGGCTTCCCCGAAGTCCCGCTGCGCACCTTCCCTGGCGAGGGCAGCTCCCCGGGCACGCAACCCCACAGTTGAGAAGGTTCCCTGCTCAGTTCCGGAGAAGATGGAGGCGTGGAGGTGACAGAGGAGCTCAATTTTCCCGAGCTGACCAAAACTTCGCCAATGGGGTCGGAGGTAAACTTGGCCGTGGGAGAAAGTTCCTCGGAGCTGTCAGAGGATTCGCTGCTGACATCTGAGTTCAGGCTGTTGGTCTCTAAGTTGTAACAAAAGCTCGGGCTGATGAGAGTGTCCTCTGGAGGACTGGAAGATATCTTCAGTTCGGATTCCTCCTTTTTCTCCCGAGCCAGAATGATTTTGGTCCACAGATCTTCCTGGCTGTCAAATTTGATTTCTGAGGCTGAAACATAGCAGGGCTCGCTCTGGAGGTAACGTTCCAGCTCTAGGCAGGTCTGTGCAAAATGAACCAGAGAAGGCACGTGATTGCCATGACGACCAAAAGTAAAAGCAAAAGCAATTTCCAAAAACATGCAAGAATGAAGGACAGATAACATTGCTGCCCGGTCACTACAGGGGCAAAACCTTTTGTAATTAAGCATCCGTGTCCTTACGGAAGTTAGAGGAAATCTGTTTCTAGAATGGTAAGAATTCAGAGGAAAAGTCGGAGGGTGAAACCTCTCCTGGCTTTCCCAATGTTGGGCCAAGGGCCACAATGAGTGATGATCACTAAGCCGGTTTTTTTGTTGTAGTTACCAGTGTTGATGTTTCTCATGAAACCAGAGGAAGAGAACCGGCCCCATACACATACTCCTCCCCAACAGGTTCAACCAGATTATCTGACATTGTCAAGAACCATGTGTTTTAAGGAAAGCCCCAGCCATCCACCCTTCACACTCCACAGATACCCACACAGGACAGAAAGACTGCACGGCACACAGCGTGTTCTGAGGGACCCCCTTGGGGACACGGCTGACAACACAGGGCCACACTCGGGGGAGAGGAGACAGCAGCTGTCTGTATTCAGGGGCATCGAATGGAGCTGCAGAAAAACCACCCATTTCCTGTGTAGCCCAGACCGCCTATGTTTTCACAGAATGCCGTTCCCAAGTGCAGGCCCTTGCATGACACAGAACTTTAATTACTTCTACAGTGGTCAGAGAAAAACAAGGAACTTCAACAACAGGAGTGCAGAAATAATTCCAGCATGGCCATCTGCTATTGTGAAGGGTGCAAGGGGAAATTACTCCACGGCCCTGCTGGGAGTCCCACAATGAACAAGAACTTTATCTACTGGCCAAGAGTACAACTGCATGAGTCATCACTCTGATTTCTTTCACGCAATGCCAAAGGAGACTTCCTTTTGAAATTCTCATCAGCAGCCAAATAAGGACCCAGCTCAAATGGACATGCAGTGTGGCATGGACAGTACCCCTTCCCCAGCCCCGCAACCAACCTTTCAAGAAGCTACAACTGCCGAGATCAGCATCCCCTCTCCCCACCATTTCAAACTTTCTAGCCACTGGAAAAGAAAAATGGTAGGAAACATTTTAGGATTAAATTATGTCTGCCCTGATTTTCACGAGGATCAGCTGCCTGCATGTCCATATAAGGTTGTCTATACTACTGGCAATTCTACAGATTTCAGTTTCTACACCAAACGGCTCTGGTGAGCACGTCATTTTTCCGGGCAGGGACCTTCCTGAGCGCAGCCTACCCCAGGGGCTCAGGCTGACTTAGCAGTGTGCCTCTCTCCTGCCACAGGCAATCCCTCCCCCTCCCCAGGCTCGCACACAGCCGGTGGGAGCAAGCACACGGGAGAATCATGCTTTCCCCTTTCCCCCGAAACCAGGCGTCTGAGTTACAATGCACACTACAGCGTTCTGAAGAGAGGCAGCAGCGATGTATTTTATTGATTTAACAAAGAAAAAAGAAAAGCACATTTATGGAGATCTTGTTAAACTTTAATAATCCGGCCAATTTAAAATCTCCATTACGCTGATGAGCACCCGGGACCTGAACGAAGCTCTCGGAGAGTTTAAAAGCCTCCAAAGGCGACCAAGAGCCAGGTCTGGCCGTTTGCCCAAATCCCAAACGCCCGAAGGAAACTACTTAGATCAATTTCAATCACGTCCTAGGGAGCAGCTTCTTTGAGGAGGAAAAAAACAGGAGGGGGAGGGGGAAAAGGCAGGAGAGGACTGTGAACAATTAAGCAGGCGTGTGAAGGTTGCAACACCCTGCATTTCATCTTCCTTAAAGCTTTCGAGGCTTGGAAACCCACAGCCTCTATTTGATCTGGCAATTCACTTTGTGACGAAAAACAAACAGCACAGCAGGGCAGGGAGACAACAGTAAACCCTCCTGCGATCGCTGGAGAGACAATGGGAGGAGTGTCAGTCTCTCTCCCCTCGGGCGATGCTACCTATAAGCACGGGGACCTGGTAAGTTTCTTAAATTTCCAATGCCCCCAAATTCCAGTTCTACGACAATGTCGGAAACCGAGGTCCTTCTTTCCAAACTAAGACTTGAAGCAGTTTGGACGGGCTCATTGTCACAAGACTGACAAGTCACTGGGGTGTACACAGTTTTATTTTTATTTTTCTTGGTCAACAAGAGAAGCAGGGAAGACAAATAAGGCAGATCTAGGGGAAATGTTAGGCATTCCAAAGAGCAGAAAACACATTGGAAATGGTCTACAGTTTAAAAAAGACAAAAATAAAAGAGAGCTGGTCTACGTTCTGGGGGCAAAATGTGATTTTTTTAAAAAACTGTTAAGTACAAGCACCAAGAAACAAAACAAAAACAAAATCCGTTAAAAAAAAACAACAAAAAACAAACAAACAAAAAAAAAACACCTTGGCAGGCAGAGCAAGTTGGTCCCCATGACAAGCTCCAGCTGTGGCGTCTGGAGCGGGGACAGGCTCCGAACTCGTGCCAGGGGCTCGGCCGGGCTGTGCCGGGAGTTGGGGCTTCCCTGGGCGGACGCTGATCGCAGCCTGGAGGATCGATCGGCGGGGGCGCTGCGCCCGCTCCCCCGGTGACAGCGCGGGGCCCAGGCCCAGCGGACCGCAGAGAGCACCGGGTCTGAACCCCAAACAGCCGACCCGGCCCGCGCCCCGGCGCCCGCAGGGAACCGCGGCCGGCTGCGTTTACCTGTTGCCAGTACTCCTCCAGAGACGGCAGCGCCGAGAAGTAGCCGGTCTCGTGCACGATCTGGAGCTCCTGGAAGATGCTGCACATGGGGAGCACGTCCATGTCGGGCCGGGTTGGACGGAGCCCGCGGTCGCGAGGGCGGCGAGGCGCGCGGTGGGAGCCGGAGCCGAAAGTCTCCCCGGAGCGCAGGTGAAAGTTTCATGCAAACTCCAGGCTCGCAGAGACGCCCGGCCGGACCCTCCCGCAGCCCGCAGCGCGCGGAGCCCACACAATATTTGCAAACACCGGACTGACTGCAAACGTAACCCCTGCAAAACTTCCCTATTCAAAGCTCCGCTGCCAGCCTCCCCCTCCGCCCCCGCCTGGCTCCCCCCACTCCCCCTCCCCCCACGTGACTCGCCCCGCGCCCGCCCCGTGCGCGGCCCAATCCCGTGGCTCCCGGCCCGGGGGCTGCGCGCCGATGATGTCAGCTCCGGCCAATCGCAGGCGGCGACACACAGCGGCCCCGCCTGGCGTGACCGAGACTCTCCATCACGGCCCGCACCATTGGCTCAATTCGAACTCTGCTCGTTCTGATTGGAAAGTGGCCTCGCAGGCTATTTTTAGCAGGGTATATAAGGCGCGGGCGGCCGCGCGCCGGAGGAGTCCGCGCTGTGAGGTGCGCGGCCGAGCCCTGCACTGCGCCCGCGGCCGGAGCTAAGGGAGCCGGGGCTGGGAGAGCCGGGGCGGGCCGCGTCGCCTGTCCCCAGTCCCGGTCTCTCTTCCCCGCTGCCCGGTCCCGCCACCCCACGCCCGTCCCGGTCACCAAGCCGGGCCCTGTCGCCGCGCGAGCCCCGGTTCCGGCAGCTCACCCTGCGGGCGGCCGTCCGGTCCCGGGGCCGCCCGGTTCCCCCCCGTCCCCTTCTATGCCCGAGGCCGCCCCGTCCCCAACTGTCCCCTTCTACGCCGGGGGCTTCCCGGTCGCCAACTGTCCCCTTCTATGCCCGGGGCCGCCCCGTCCCCAACTGTCCTCTTCTGCGCCGCTCTGTTTCCCTACATCCCCCTAGTCATCCTCTGTTCTCTAACCTTGGGGTACCCCTCTCTGTCCTCCTCCACCTCCGGGTCCCTCTCTGTCCCCCTCCATCCCTGAGCCCGTCTCCGTCCCCCTCCAGTCCTAGGGTCCCCTCTGTCCTCCGGGCCACCAGAGTGGGGGAGGGGAGCACGCAGGCTCCCCTTGGAATTGGGAGAAACGTGTTTATCTTGTAGAGGGCGATCTTAGCCCTCACCAAGGTTAACAGCTAGGTTTTCCCATGAACGTGTAAACAATTTAGGTGCAAGCCGACATTTAGTGTGTGTGTTTTTTTCCATATAAATTATCTCCTAAAATATACCGTAATGTTCATTTTTAAGAAAAATGTCGAGACTCGAACCAGAGCATTTTAAAATCCAAAATGGAAAACTGAATTGTAACTGTATTATAGTTTTTGTTTCAAAATAGTTTAATGAACATTAAACATTTTGAAAGAATGGACTATGTAAAAAAAAATTAGAGGGTTTTGTATGTTAAGTTTTAGAGGGTCCGGCAGAAGCATGTGGCTGTAAGACTAGGTGGGGACCTTAGTGAGTCTGGAGTGGAGAAAGGAGGTTTGTCTTGTACCTGCGGTATGTGGGCGGTGAAGGTTATGCAGAGTGAATTGACAGTGTTCTTGGCTCGTGTTCATCACATTTACCCCAGCAACTGAGAGCCAGGACCAGCCCTTCTTGGGGACCTGCACCTTAACTCTGTTTCCAGGAATGCAAATGGCTTTGTTTTGAACCATCCACAGATTTGCCCAAGCGCCCATTGACCGGGGCCCAGTGACTGGCAGCCGAGAGCATCTGGGCAGCCGTTGTGTTGGGGGCAGGGTTCTCTCAGTAATTAGCGCTTGTGACCTTGGCCCCGCTAGTTCCTAAGTAAGCAGGAGTGTGGAGCAAGTCCCCCGCTGAGGGCCAGGCACGCTGGATCAGGGGGAGCCCGAGATGAAGGGGGAAGGCTCTGTCTGGGCCAGGGAGGACAGGACGGCTGTCTTTGCAAGGCGTGTGGGCGTCCTGGTGAGGGTGTCCCATTTTATCTTTGGGACAATTAATTATTGTCTTAATGTTTTTTAATAAATCCACATTCCTATAGAACTTAAATTCATCCTTGTCTCTTAACATGCTTTGCCCGGCACTATGAAGATTATATAGTTTATTTTTACAAGAGGGAACCTGATTAGTCATAATGCAGATACAGTACAATGGCCATTGTCATTTTCAGAAAAAAAAAAGATTTGAAAACAGGGTACATATGAACACTAAATTTCAAATAGAATAGATCCTATGGCATCCTGCTGCGCTCATTGACCATTGAACACACATTACTCACACCCTATGAATGGCCAGGTATTGGTACACAGAAATTTACAAAACAGGCACAAATCCCTATTACGGTGTGGGAGAGGTGGGCTGCCAGGAGTATGTAGATGTTTGAAAACAAAAGTCCTTATTACGAGTAAGCATGTAACCAGTTGGTGAAAAAATATCATTTTCTTTGATGTGACAAAGAATATGCATCGCATCTGAACACTAATAGTTGCGCCTGATTTTTTTAAGAAGAGCAACAAAGAATCGTAGAGGGCCAGATTAATTCAGAAGGGGGAAGTATGGCAGGATATAAAAAGATGATGGATTTTACACTTTAGTTGTCCATGCTGTGCGCATGGCCCTGGTCACGTTATTTAAATAGGAGATTAAAATGACTATTAGAATGAGTTTAGTATAATCAGAAGAGTTAATGGATTAAAATTCCTGCTTGGTAGCAAATAGTAGTGATTCAATAAATTGAAGGCAGTGTTCACTTATTCACCATTTAGCCATTTGTAAGTTTGCTCTTGGTAATTATTTTATAATCCCCCACCCTTCTTTTAACATATGAGTGAATGCAGACAGAAAAATGAAGTCAACTTTGCAGGCCACAAAGCAAATCAGAGACAAGAGTTGGACCTCGACTTGTCCAATAATCCCACAGGTGCTTCCTTCTCCTGCCGGTCGCTGAAGAGCCCTGCTCTGTTTTCACTCTCGCAGTCTTGGAGAGAAAATAATCAGCTCCATTTGTTGGACGTGACCCTTGTTCTCTGCTCACCTTGAGCCACTCCTGTCTCTGCCACTATCTTCAAAAGGTCAAGATCCCTTCTGGGTGACAGTCGTAGGCTCCTTTCGACGTTCCTGGGGGCCACTTCACCCCCCTGGCACCCCGCTGTTACTTCCTCAGTCCCCACTTAGGCCTCCATGCCCTCCTCCACTGTTTTTCTTCTCCTCTTAGACCTCCAGGCTGTGCTCATTTATTTCATACCAGGAAGCTCTCTTTGTTGCCTCTCAAAAATAAAAGTATACATTTGAAACCTAATTTTAAATTTAATTTAAAGATTAATGGGATAACATGTTGGTATTGAGTACATTTGATCTTCCTGTTCTAGATCATTCAAGACGGGCTCTTGGGGGAAGTCTTACAAATCTGTTCTGAGGATAATTCCAATAATGCCCCCTAATTATATTGACAGAGAATGCTCCAATTTTGGGGCAAGAAGCCAATTTTGTTGTTCTGTTTTGTTTTGGTTTTGGTGTCTGTACCAATATATTGCCTGTTTTGGAGCAAACTACCCTTTTATTTCATCTGTTTATTTTGGGTGTGCAAAATATAATTGTTAAGAAAGTACTTCTGAATATTTACATGATAGAGCCTATGTAAGTGTAAAATGTTCCTTTTTTTTTGAGATGGAGTCTCCCTCTGTTGCCCAGGCTAGAGTGTAGTGGCACAATCTTGGCTCACTGCAACGTCTGCCTCCTGGGTTCAAGCAATTCTCCTTCCTCAGCCTCCCAAGTAGCTGGGATTCCAGGAATGCACCACCACGCCTGGCTAATTTTTGTGTTTTTAGTGGAGATGGGGTTTTACCATGTTGGCCATGCTGTTCTTGAACTCCTGACCTCAAGTGATCGGCTGCCTCTGCCTCTCAAATTGCTTGATTACAGGCATGAGCCACTGCGCCTGGCCCTGTGATGTTCATTTCTCAATTATCTCATTTGCAGATAGTTCTATCTAAATAGTGAGTTGCCTTTTCTCTCCCTAGCGTTTTTACATAACATGTAAGGTGTAGTAGATTCACTTTTTAACCATTTTTGCTTAGAATAATGAAGGAAAATGCCCTATTGATAGTTTTCAAAAGATGTTGAATTTTACTGTCAACATAGGCAAGGTAATAAGTACAATGACAGGATACCTCTGGGGCATTGGTCGGGGAGAACTTCTGTCTATCTAAGACCTTTGTTTTAGTAGCCCTCTTTTAAAATATAATTGTAAAATGGGACAGCTGTAAAGCTCAGTTCACAATAGGGCCTCCAGAAGGAGCTCCCTGTGAAATATCCACAGGTACAAGCTATACCACGTGTGTGGTTAAGATACCCATTCTTTACAAGGTGGTCTGTGCATTCCACACACTTCCCATCAAAATCTCAGCAGGCTTTTTTGTTGAAGTTGTCCTGCTGATTTAAAAATGTATAGGAAATGCTGAAGAGAGCTATACCTAAACCAGTCCTGAAGGTTGAAAGTTTTATATTATGTGTTTCAAGACTTAAAGCAAAATTGAACGTGATTGTGTGACATTGGCTTTGATACAGTTAAATCAATATAACAGAATATAGAGCTCAGAAATACCATCATTCTTATACACTTTTAAAAAAAAATTTTCAAAAAGGTACTAAACCTATCCCTGTGTGGTTTACTGAGGTCTTGTATCTGTGGTTTATTGTATTTCATTAAATCTTGGAAAGTTCTTGATCACTGTAACTTCAAATATGTCTTCTGTCCCATTCTCTTTCTGTTCTCTTTCTGGGACTCCAATTGCACACGTGCTAAACAGTTGGATATATTGTTCCACAGATTTCAGATGCTCCATTTCATTTTTTCATTCTTTTTCCTGAATGCGTTTCTTTTTTTATAATTTCTATTGACCTGTCTTCAGATTCACTGATTCTTTCCTGTGCTGAATCCTGTCTGCTGATGAGACCATTGAAGGGATTCCTTAGATGTGATAGTATTTTTTTATCTTGCTTACATTTCCATTTTATTCTTTCTTGTAGTTTCTTTCTGCTGCAGTTCCCCATCTTTTCATTATCTACATTTTCCCCACTAGATTATTTTAATCTTTTAATCACAGCCATTTTAAAGTCCTTCTTTGATAGTTTCAGTGTCTTGTTAATTCTCTAGGCCCAATTTTATTGATTGTCTCTTAACAATGTGTTGTTTTCCTTGCTTTTTGTGTGGCTCTTAACATTTGATTAAATGGAACATATGTTGAGCAGAATAGTAGAGACTTACGTAAGTAGAAATTTCTCCTGCAAATGGGCACATCCCTTCTCTCTAGCTGTTTTTATAGGGTAGGAACTGGCAAACTCTTGTCTGTAAAGGACCACATAAGTAAATACCTTAGGCTTTGTGGCTCACAGGGTCTCTGTTGTAACTTGTTGATTCTGTGAATGTAGCCCTAAGCCAGTCATAGGCAACAAGTAATTGAATAGCCATGGTTGTGTGCCATTAAAACTTTATTTACAAAAACAAGTGACAAGCCAAATGTGGCTGGCTAACTGTAATTTGCCAATCCCTGGTCTGGGGATTGAGTCTGCCTGGTCAGTCAGTAGTTGAGCTAGGTTTTGGTTTTGTCATTGTTGTAGTTCCTTTCCATGCATGAGAGACTTGTTAAAACTCTCCAGCACTAGGCTGCTGCTACCTTGCAATTAACATGGAGACTGGGGTGCCTGGGTGCCCCTCAGTGCTCCTGTTGCACACCCACTTTGACCATTGCTGCACACCTGTTGTGATGGAAGTGTGCCGGTGAGGAGATGGGCCCCTGGAGAGGGGAGGGTGTGTTTTAAGTTCTGATCTCAGGATGGCCCTGTGCCTTTGGGCTTTCGGGCTAGAGCTTTCTCAGTGTCCCTGCCTCCTCTCCTTCATCCAGCCAAACTATCTGTATCTGTCAGAGGACAGGTGGTAGGTGGGAGGGAGTTTCCTGCCCATCTTCTGGGAAGAGAAGACCCTTGCTTCTTGGCATGCAGGACCTGGGTCTGAGGGAGCATCCGGCCGTCCTGCACCGAGAGGCTTTGTCTTCCTTACAGGAGGGGTCTAGGGATGCAGGTGGGGGCTCTGGAGCCTACTGCCTTACCCACCGATCTTCCCTGTGTGCACCTGGTAGAAGCCAGTGAAGAAGAGCTTGTAGGTGAGAATAGGATCCCATTTATTCCAAACTGCGGTCCAGCCCACACTTACCCATTAACAGATTATTGCAATGGAAGCTGCTTTCTTCTGTGGCAGCTCCTCCTTCTACTTTTCCAAAGGCAAAACAATCTGTGGCACCATTTCCCTTCAGGTGTTTCGGGCGCCTGTGGCCCTTGCTCTTTAATAGGCTAAAGAAAAATAGGATTTTGTAGACTAGCTGAGTTTTTCTTGTCAGTGAGGTGGAAGCAATGTTCTCTTATGGCTTTTTTTCCATACATCAGAAGTAGAGTTCCAGAGAAATCCAATGGGGACAGGAAAGTCTTCAACAAATGATGCTGGGACACCTGGGAGAAAAGGAGGCATACGGGCAGGCAGAAAGGAAGGAAGGAGAGAGACAGAAAAGAAAGAAGAGAAGAAAAGAAAAGAGAAAAGAAAAGAAAGGGGGAAAGAGGGAGGGAGAGAGGGAGGGAAGGAAAGAAGGGAGGGAGAGAGGGAGGGAAAGAGAGAGAGAAACTCAGCCCTACCTCCTCACATTATACAGACAAGTAAGTAAAGACAGATGATAGAGTACATAAAAAAGCGGGACTACAAAACTTTCAGAAAAAAAAAAACAGGAGAAAATCGTGACAGGGGTTCTTGGATGGGAAACACAAACAAAAATTTAAAAAAAAATGATTAGATTTCATCAAATTTAAAACTTTATCAAAAGGCAACACTAACAGCATGAATAAGTAAGTCACAGACTGAGAGAAATAATCAAAAAACATCCATTTAGTATTGAACAAGTATCCAGGGTATATAAATGACATAGAGAAGTCAACAATAAAAATATTTTGAAAAAATTAAAAATAAGCAAAATATTTGAACAGATACATCACAAAAAAGATATGCAAATGACTCATAAGCACTTAAAACCGTGTTCAATATTTATTGTCTTCAGGGACATGTGAAATAAAAGCCACTGGAATGGCTAAAAGTAGGAACTTTGACAATACCAAGCGTTGACAAGGACATGTTGTGAGCCATCAGAACTTTCCTCAACTCTTGGTGGAAGGGTAAAATGCCACCAGCTCTCTGGAAAAAAGTCTGGCTGTTTTTAATAAAACTAAACATTCACCTATCCTCTGACTCAGTTCTTCCATTTTCCAGGCATTTAACCAAAAGAATTAAAAGAATATGGCCACAAAGAGATTTGGTCAACCTCATTCATAGCAGTTTATCCAGAACAGTCAAAAAGTGGAGCCTGTCCAGGAATCCATGACCAGAAGATGTGGTGAATTGTATGATGTGAGGCTGCTCAGCAGCAGAAGAGCCTGCAGCAACACGAGTGTGTCTCAGATACAGTTGGCTGAGTAAAGAAGCTTCACATGCAAGAATGCCTACTGCAAGATTCATTTTGGTTATGTTTCAGAAGAGGCACAACTGATGTTTAGTGGAAAGAACCAGCATGTCAGTTGCCATGGTGAGCAGGGGTGGAGATTGACTTGAAAGGGCATGAGGGGGCTCTCTTGACCTGGTGGGCATGTTTAATGTCTGGATAGAGGTTTGGGTTGCACAGGAGACTGCATTTTTCCCAAACTGATTGGCTGGTATGCTTAAGACTTGTGCATTTAACTTTCTGCAAATTTTACCTCCCTCTCCCCCACTAAAAAGAAGAGAGCCATAGACAAATATTGAACTCACAGTAATAATATGCAAGCTGCAGTGTTCAGAGGGGAAGCATGCTAAGGCATACCGTATGCTTTGAAACTTCAAGAAACTGAGAGAAAGAAAGGGGAAGGAACAAGAGGAGGAGGAGGAGGGAGGGGCAGATGGCTTGAAGGATGGATCCATGATTGATGCATGGGTGGATGGATTTATGTGCCACAAAGCAAATATAGTAAAATGGTAATTTTCGAATCCCGGTGGAGGGTGTTTGGGTGTTTACTGATCGTTTAAACTTCTCTTTATATTTGAAAATGTTCTTGATAAGAAGTAGGGGGGGAAATATGCTAGAGCAGGGAACATGAGGAGCCATGCTGCAGTGCACCTTGGTTAATGAGCTCTGGCTCCAAATTCTGAAACCTAATAGCCGTGGGACTTGGGTAAATTATCCAGCACATCTAAACCTCAGTTTCCTAGCCTATAAGATGGGCTAATAATTATGCCTGCTGCCTGTACCTGCTCTCCAGGCACTCTACAGGCCCTTATTTGGTACTAAGTTATTCCTCCCAACAGCGCACCATGGGGGCCATTTCTATTGAGCACCCTGCTGTACAGATGAGACTGAAGCTGAAAGGGAGATGAAGAGAGGAGCCAGGATTTGTCGGGGGTTCCTTTGGTTCCAGGCTTGGCATTTTTGCTCACCATGCTCAGGGTCTCATAATTTCGACTGAACCATTTTGTTGAAACCTGTGTTGATGCCGAGAGGAAGACTTAAAGCCAGGTTATTTTGGAGTTAACTTTAAAATCCCTGTCTTTGTAACTAATTATAGCTATATTATGCAGATTTAAGGCATCTAATGAGTCAGAGTAGAAAATTAGTACTTGAATAGAATGTATTAGTCTTGTGTGGCTGCTGTAACAAACACCACAAACTTAGTGGCTTAAAACAACTGAAATGAATTCTCTCAGTCTGGGGGCCAGAAATCCACACTGAGGCATGGGTAGGGCCATGCTGTTTCTGGAGGTTCCAGAGGAGAATCTGTTCCTTGCCCCTTTCAGCTTCTTGTGGCCGCATCACTGCAGTATCTCCTCTGGTCGTGTTGCTGCCTCCCCTTCTATGGGTGTCAAGTGTATCTCTCGCTTCCCTTATAAGAACACTTGTCATTGGACATAGGGCCACTTGGATAATGCAGGATACGCCCATCTCAACATGCTGAATTTAATTACATCTGCAAAGATCTGTTTTCCACGTCAAGCCACATTCACAGATTCCAGGGATTTGACATGGATATCTTTGGGGAGGCCATTTCTTTGTCCTGCCACACTCAGCAAAACCATATAAATTAACGTGTATTCAATAATGCTTAGCAGTAGGATAGTGGATTAAATATTGCAAGATCTTATAGGCAAGAGGTAAGAAAGCTGTGGACAATCACAGTACATCTTAAGCTGGTGCCATAAAGCCAGGCTCAATGGAAACAGGTGTGATGACCACAGCACTTCCTAGTAACCTGACAGGGATTATTTAATGTAATTCTCAGGATGGCCCCACCACCTCCATTGTGAGTAATGAGGAAACCGAGGCACAGCAAGTATTTAGCTTGCTCAGCCACCCAGCTTTGGTAAGGAAAAGTCATAAGGAAAGGTGACGCTCAGTGGGTGTTCCATAGTGCAACCCTCTGAGATAAATGCCACCATGATCTCTGCTATATAGACCTGGAAACTGAGGTGGGGGAGAGGAACTAACATGCCTGAGGTCCCTGACTGTCAGGTGGCTGGTAGAGGAGGAGGGAGTCCAGGAGCTCACAGGGCAGCTCTGCCGCCTTGGACAGAGTAATGGGCCGGGATCTGAACCCGGGGCTGGGAGCCCAGAGGCTGAGGCACAGCCACCACTGTGTAATAGTAACAAAGAGAACTGAAAGAGAAGGTTGCATACTTGTTTCCAGTGATTATCATTAGAACTTGGTACCAGGGAGATGAGGTGAGCCATAGTCCCATCTCCAAGGAGGCCACCATGGGCTGCGAGGCCTGCAGAGGACCTTTTACTGCTTCACTGTGCTCTCGGGCCAGATGCGCTTGGCACTAGGAAGTGCTGTGGGACCCCCACAGGGATGCTCACTCATCCAAATGCCGCGCTTCCTCCGTGCCTTTCTAAGTTATCCAGGAGTGTGTCCTCCCTTGCATTCACTGAGAGCCTGTGCACCTGTCCCTTGGACTTCCCCAGTGCCCTGAGCAGCATCCCCCCTCGCTGTCCTCCCTCACTTTCTGCAGCAACCATCCGGTGCTCTCACTGTGGATCCTGAGGATTCCACACTGGTCTCCCTGGGCGCTATGGATCCTGCAGTCTTGGTGGATTGTTGTGCCTTCCTCTTAGGTCTGTGAGCTTCTAAGGGAAGGGACTGACTTCCATCTCCACATCCCGTTGCCACTATGGGGCATGCAGAAGTGGACAGAGTTGATAGCTTGAGTCAGAAATGCAACTCATTTAACTTCCTGCAGAACAGTGCTTGGGAGGTAAACTCCCTGAGTTTTTGCCTGTCTATAGGGGTATTGTTGTCTTGTATGTCTTGTATTACAGCTGTTTGTGAATGTTTCTCTTCCCTCCTAAAGTACTAGTGTTATCTATTAGTCTATAAAACAGCCTCTAGAAATTAAGATTCAGAACTATTAGACTTTATAAGAAGGTGAAAAGAAAAAGGAGGATCGCCAAGGATTAGTGATTGATACATTGGTATGAATCTAAAACCCGTCACTGAGCATTAAGTTGCTAAAAAAAAGAAGTAGAGAACATGAAAAAAAATTACAGCTGAGTAAAAGAATTGAAGCTGACAATTGCAAGTAAGAATACAGTTTGCCCCTGTAAATTAAATAAGTTATGGTTATATTTGCTCCTGAATACTTTTAATCTTATTTTGGTTGACTATATTCTAAATAAAATGAGCTACCAGTAATGCCTTCTAAAAACTTAGCAATCACTAAACATTTTCCAAGGAAATTTCACAAGGAGGGGAAACTGGTAGATGGTCTTCAGGTTTGAAGCACCTGCAAGTATGTAATACACTATTTAAGTAAACAAATGAACCTTACTCATATTTCCATGGTGTCTCTACCTTCTTCTTGCAGTTCTGGCTTTAGTTATTGCTTTATGTCCTTGTCTCCTCTGACAGCCTGAACACAAGAGGGTATGTATTCCTTTTTAAGACCAGTGTTTAGTATAATGTCTAGACTCTCCCAGCTATTCAATAAATACTTACTGAATGAATGAATTCTTGAATGACTATATGCATGAATACAGAATTTATCCATGGGTTAAAGATGGAACTTCAAAGTATTGTCTGATTGTTGCCAATTGGGACACAAATTTTTTAATCCCTTAATGATTTTGCTTCATTTTCATTCTTTTTTGTGCCTGCATAAAAATTTAAATAAACATTGACTCTTTTATCCTTCATAAGTCACAGCAGATTTAATTTCACATTCTAAATGTCTGCACTTAGGAAACTCAGCATGTATGATGTGGTCCTGAGTAAGTACATATCCATGGGATAAATTATATGCCAACTCAGAAATGTCAAATATTTTGTATTTCATTGCATGTGAAGAATTTGAAGGAAAATCTACTGGACTGTTGAACAGAGACCTCTACACTACAAACAACCAGTCAAAGCTTGCTTAACTCATGTGTTAAGGTTGACCCTGGGTGCCCCACTTTTTGTGAATTTCATTCTCATATTTTCTAGATTTATTTCTTAGTTTTTCTGGAGTACATCCTGTAGTGACTTCCTGAGGAATGTGTGGAAGGTCGCCTTTTTGAGTCTTTGACTCTCTCAATTTTTTAAAATCTTCTCATACGCTTCATTAATAATTTCACTGAATATAGAAATCTTGGTATAAATTTCTCTTGGTCCTTTGAAGATAATTCCACTGTGTTTCAGATTCAGTTCTGTGTTTCACTTGGCTTTTCTGGTTAGTTTTTCTCATTTCTGGTTCTTTTATGCTGGCGATACATCGGTGTCTATGGTTTCCTAGGCTTCATCCTGACTGACCTCTTCATGGTAGGAATTCTATCCAGGACTCTGTAAAGGGCAAATCATTTAGAGTATGTGTGCAGGGAGCTGGCCACGGGCTGCAAATTTAACCAATGAAAGCTATTGTCTCCAACATTTTCCCTAGTTTCTTTGGGGGAGAGTGTTTTTGGGAGGAGTGTTTTGCTGGAACATAAATGCCTGAGCTTCATGGCTGATGGGTGGAAAAGGGGAAAGAGGGTGAGGTTTTGACTGGTACAATTGCCCCACAGATAGAACTTCAGTTGCTCCTCTGTCTTCAGCCCTTTCCAACTCCTGTACTCCAGTCTGTATGCTGATCTGAGCACAGACATCTCAGGGCTTCCTGGGTGGACTGAGGCCCACCTCTTCTGAAACCTGCTTTCTGTGTCCCCCAGACTGCAAACTTCTTGGCCTGCTAACCTTGTGTAACCCTCTGCCACCCACCTTCTGTTTTCTAGAACCTTATTGAAGTCTTGTGTATGGTAGTGACTCCCTATTCAATTCCTGTTATATGGTTCTTGTAATGCTATATTTTTATTTCAGTGGGATCTGGAGAGAATGGGGACACAATTATAGTCCTGGTTCTTTAACTTAAACCAGAGACCCTGAATGCCATCAACAAATAAGTTCAAGAACTCCAAAATGATCGAGTTAAACATGTGTTCATGGTTATGCTTTTATCTTAGCATATAAAATAGATAGATATCTATTTTATTTCCATTTTAATATACTGGGTTTTACAAAGCCTGCTAAGCCTAAGACATTTTAAAACAGAGGGGCGAGAGAAAGAATGAGAGAAAGAAACGATGAAATGAAAAGGCAAAGTTCTAACCTTTCTTAGTATTTCAAGAGGAACCCAAAATGAGATTCCTTTCACCAGAAGTCCCACCAGAAGTACAAATTCTGACAAATTTGTACATGGGCCCAATTTTTGTGGTGCTTCTGTTGAAAACCGAAATCCCCTCCTGAATAAAAGGGATATCCCACTTAGACAATTCAGAAGATCTTATC